>NC_000004.12:93466835-93769865 GCF_000001405.40 Homo sapiens
TAATGAAACTGAAAGCAGTCTTGTCAATTATATAGAAACATAACCTATGTTAAATATAGATTGAAAGAAAGCCTTTAAGCTTAACAGAATTACTGAACTCTGGTTTCATTGTAAACTTAAATGTAATACATATTGTAAATACCTATGAAATACAATTTAACATGTAAGAAAGATATAAAGAATCTTGCTAAGTATCTATTCCCACTATTTTATGTTATTGCAACACTAAAATATACCATGCCGGATCTGAAAACAAATTCTCAGTAACCAGTGAAATTTGTTTCTTTGATCTGAGAAAATCAAAGTTCATGATAGTATTCTGAGTTCAGTTTGAAGTGAAGAACATGCCATGCCAGATTGCAAAAGTTGGTTCTGGATTTAAACCATCTTTGACATTATTTAATATAAACAATCTGAAAATAATTTATACTATTAAAATTATTGAAAAGGAAAATTATCTTTAGATGTTTTTTCCAAATACTGTTTTAATACCGATTTTGCTGAGAACAATGACCAAGTTCCTAAATCAGCAACCAATTTTTGCCTAAAGTAATTTTTAAGAAGTCTGTATTTTATATAAAGGTGATTCAAACTTTGTTGGCTTTTAAATTTTGAAATAGTATGACTTCTTCACATAATTATCTACAAAGCTATAAGGAATTGTTGATGGCATTCTCTTCTAACTTAGATCCTCTTTGATATCATTATAGTCTCTTCTAAATATAAAAGTCATTTTGCTATATCAGCAGGGACTGTCTACAAGTACCACGCTTCTGTGCTATTGTTGTACTGATTAAAGGGTTAAGGCCACTTAGCCTTTAGTCCTCTGCCTTACATCACCACCCAAGGAGTGCTATAATCCTCTAGAAATGCATTGCCTGCAGTGTGGCACTGCTTAATAAATCACTCCATCTTATTTATCTTTCTCTTGACATATAGCTAGCAGCAGGAACCATTATCCTATGACAATGTTAAGTTCTATTGACATTTTCTCTTAATTAACTACACTAATTTTTACATTGGAAACAAACTTCCTTTATTTAATGCTATCTTAAACAAAGGAAGTGTTAAACTTGTCATACCTGCATCATCATAACATGTTTTGAAATAAGTGAAATGTCTTTGTTACCTTTCCAGAAGACCAGTTTATTCTGCTGAGAAAACAAGTTTGTACTTATAGAATCATATTGCATCATTTCTTCTAAACTCATTAGACATCTTAATAATATATAAGAGCCCCAAAATATATGTCTGAATTCCTCTGTGATACATATCCCTTCAGTCATTTGAACAAATTTTATGTACAGTTTCATAAATTGAGAAAAGCATTTTTTTCAGATTAAGCATGTCTTACCTATCTTAGAACCAAGCATTTTGGGTCTAAATTAAAGATCATTCAACAGTTAGTGTATGTAATGTGCCAGGCACTATTCAAGCTGTTGGGGCTGTATTCATGAGAAAAACACACATATATTCATGCCTTCATGGAGCTCATCTTCTAGTAGAGGGAGACTGGCAACAAATAACAGCCATAATAAATAAATAAATAAATAAACTACATATATCAGAACTCAAATGCTATAGAAGGAGTAGTTCAGAGTAAGGAGAATTGGAAGTATGTATGGAACTGTTACAATTTTCAATTTGTTGCAGTAAGCCTCTTTGAGAATTTGATGTTGAACAAAATCCTGAAGGATAGGAAGGAATATACTTTATAGATAGATATCTGGAGGAAAGATGATCAGGTATAGGGAAGTTCAAAATGCAAAGGTTCTGCTTGAAGAGGCCGGAAGCATAGTTTAGTAGGAGGTGAGGACAGAGAGGTCCATGAGTTCAGATGAGATTGACCTTTGTAGACTTTCACATTTACTCTGAGAGGAATGGAGAATTATGGAGTACTTTAAGCAGAGAAGTGACAGGACAAACATTAAGACAAATATATGTAATTGTAATGGGAGGCATTGACAAACTTTTCTAGAGCTATTCTATTTTCCACATCTGGCATATTTGAGGATTTAATATTTGTTTCAAAAAATGTAGATTTGTATCTAAAGGAGTCATGATTATATTTTATAGGTATACAAATGTATACATGTTTAGGTAGATACATGCTGGTTGCAAAATATACCCAGCCATCGTACATTTTAAAAAACTTTAACTCCAAGATCTAGCCATAATGTTTTCTACTCTGCAGATCAGACACATATGGTTATCCATTTTGGAACACATGTTAACAAGTAAATCAAGAGATACGTCTCATTCCCAGCTGTATTTGTGGTGATGACTCCTGAAGAAGGCCATTCTTTTCTGATAAATCTTCCCTGGTGCTTTTGGTAGAGAAGGTACAGAGAGAAAGCAAAAGTACAGGCATTCTTAGTTTATTTTTTTCTTCTCAATCAACCTAGTTTCTTTCTGGGAAGAATAAATGCTATTTCACAAAATCAGTTTACCAGTTTACTTGAAATGTATTTGGAAAGAAATATACATATATATGGTAAAAAATTCTTTGCTACATCAAATCAATCTACTAATAATGCCTTTCAGAGTAGAATTAAATAAGGCTTTCTTTTTAGAAAATTCTTCCTGAAAAGAAATTAAATTGAATATTTTTATTATTTTTATTTATTTAAAATGTATATATACCTTCTATTTATCCATAAAGATCTTAAAATCTGCTAACATTCATAATAGCAGTGCATTCTTTTGCTTCACTCACAGAAAAAAAAATGAATAACCTTCTATCTCCAATCTTCCTTACCAAGGCCAACTCTTTCCATTTAAACATTTCTTGATTTTTAAATTTGCAGTCATTTGGCCACAAAAGGCCATCTGGAGTATAAGATTAAATAGACACTAGGTTCAACCACAGTAGGAATCTGTAAACTCAGCATTATCCTCCAGAAAACCTTCCTTTGAAAATGATGTACAGTTCTTCTATTAGGGCTGCACTTAATCTCTAAGCTATCGGAAAACAAGGTCAGATCTTCTGTTGACACAGGAAATAGTGCAACCGGTCCCCTGTAGTTATTGCAAATAGTTGTATAGATTAGTGACGTTTCTGAAAAACTAAATATTTTTAAATGGGTCTTTAATATTCAGTCCTCCAAATACAGAAAAAGGATTAGGTTAAAAAGTGAAAATTAAAATGTTCACTATGATGTTCATTGATTTTTAATTTTTCCTTCTGAGCTTGTATTGACCCAAGTGACATTCTACAAATGCTGACTTAAATTAGGTTAAGCAAGTTGAAAATTACATTTGATGACCTGAATAATTCATTAAAAAGGATAAGCATATAAAAGCCTACTTTAGTAACACAAACACATTTTTTATAATAATGTAAGATATTGAATCTGGCCACAAACAATGTCCAGGATGGACACTTTTAAGTCGGAATGAGTAACTTTCTTGCTACTAAATTATATACAGTACATATTTAACTGATGAACCAAAAGAGAGTAATTTGGCTAAGTAAAAGTCATTCCCAGCACTAAAAGGCAATTTAACATGCATTTACCCCCAGGAAACTTAGAAAATGAACAGTAATTGCAGAGGTCAAACTTGTAAGCTGGCTATACTTACTTGTTTCACTCCAAGACTTGACAGCGATGCAATTTAATCCTCAAATCTGTGACTACCTGAGACTATCATTGAATTGAGGGAGCTTATCAACTAAGAAAATTAAAAATAATTGTACTAGTTTATAGCTCAGGTGTAGATAATTCCATATACCAAATAAATATTATCGTGATGTGTTGTGAGTTTATAAGTTAACATATTACATACGTGTGTGTATACGCACACATATATCTTATTTCTCCTTTAGGGGACGATCTCTCCCTGATTTTTCAATGTAGTTTCATAAACTTTCTAACACTAATTGACAAAATTAAAAACAAATATTGTGTAATGCACAGATGGCAGAAAGTAAGCAAAAGTGTATGATTTCAAAAACAAAAATCTACAGATATATTCTTATCAATTTATTTTTAAATTTTAAGTATTAGCTAAACAGTCTTATTAAGAGCCATTTTCATATAAAATAGTACATTGTTATATTTTCTTTTCTGTTATGATATTGTAAAATGTGGCTCATTCTTAGTGATATTAAAACAAACAAGTAACACAATGTTTGTTAGACGTGCATTTTTGTCTAATCTATTTTACAAATCTTTTAGCAATATAATTAAAAATATTTGAAATCAGGGAATTCAAAGGAAGTAAAGGAATGAGAAAAGCCTAGTGGAATAAAGATATTATAAATAAGATATTAAAATATAGATTTAATTTTTAAATGGGAGCATCTGGCATGAGTGAAATAAAATGAAACAAACCTCACGGATAAAACTTTGTTATTAAAACTCTTTTCCTTCCTTCTTTTGCTTCTGTGCAGATGATATTTTGATAATTTCCTCTGAAAGTAACTGAGGCTGTGCTGCTTCTTATAGATAGGCTGCAAGGAGGGGAAACCCATTATCTTTCAACTCTTAAACTGTCTCTTCATAAGATAAGCATTTCAAAAATTGTATTCCGTAACTCCCCTTCTAGTTTTTATCCCTCAGTTTTTAGTTGACTAAATTACCAAAAACAAAAGTGATGGGGCAAATTCTATAATAGGTCTGAGGGGTCTGAAGACTCAAATGAAGCTTACAGAGATCCTAACCGGATGATCTAGTACTTTTGATCTTTGATTTGGTGTGTAATTGGTTATCAGGATTTGTTTGCTAGAAAATTTACCCTTAACACAGAGAAATGTGGAAATTTTAGCTTGAAACAATTCTCAAGATTATACATACTTTTCAAGTTTAAGACATATTCCTTATTCATTACTTAATTCATTGTTATTTCTTCTCCTGAATTCAATTTTTTTTTTTTTTTTTGGAGACGGAGTTTTTGCTCTTGTTGCCCAGGCTGGAGTGCAATGGCGTGATCTCGGCTCACTGCAACCTCCGCCTCCTGGGTTCAAGTGATTCTCCTTCCTTAGCCTCCAAAGTAGCTGGGATTACAGGCACACACCACCACGCCAGCTAATTTTTGTATTTTTAGGAGAGACGGGGTTTCCCCATGTTGGTCAGGCTGGTCTCGAACTCCCGACCTCAGGTGGTCCGCCTGCCTTGGCCTCCCAAAGTGCTGGAATTATAGGCTTGAGCCACCTTGCCTAGCCTTGAATTTAATATTTTATTTATGCTGATTGAAGTTAGAATTTTGGCCAGGCGCGGTGGCTCACACCTGTAATCCCAGCACTTTGGGAGACTGAGGCGGGCGGATCACCTGAGGTTGGGAGTTCAAGACCAGCCTGACCAACATGAAGAAACCCCATCTCTACTATAAATACAAAATTAGCCAAGCATGGTGGCGCATGCCTGTAATCCCAGCTACAAGGGAGGCTGAGGCAGGAGAATCATTGAACCCAGAAGGCGGAGGTTGCAGTGAACCAAGATCACGCCATTGCACTCTAACCTGGGCAACAAGAGCAAAACTCCATCTCAAAAAAAAAGTTATAATTTTATCAGCAGATGATCTCTCAGGGTATAACTTTTAACCATAATTAAAGAAATGTTAGATTAGACTTTATCCATATACATTAAAAATATGAAATACTACTGAATATATAGTTCCTTTATTTAAAGCCACAACAAGAGCATTTCATTCACATAGCTAAATGATCAATGTGGTGGATATTCTCCGTATTTATCAGGAGTTTAAAAAGTAAACTTATCAGATAAAAATAAGGAAAAAGAATATTCCAGACATTTCAAAGTTTAAGCTGGTAAACAGTGTGAGGATCCCATTTTTGCATATGAATGGAACAAAGGTTGGAGATAAGACTAGAGAAAATGTTAGGGGCCAGATTGCAGACATGCTCAGGTAGAACACAAAGAAAATCGACTTTATGTTACAGAAGATAGATATTCATTAAAGATGTTTCATCATCAAACTGGCCCAATAAAATTTATGTTTTAAAACTGGGCTCTTTGCAGACAGTATGAAGCATGATTTGAAGGTTATGAGACTTGAAATAGAATAGCTGAAGTAATGCAAAGCTGAAGAAAATCAGCCACCACCACTACCACAACAAAAACAGAAGAAGGAATAGAAAAGAGAGAATAAACCAGAAACCCACACGACAGGGCTTAGTGCCTGATGGAGTGTCAAAAAACAGTAAATATATTAATATGTATGCAACAGTAGTTTCATACTGCATGTAATGCTATTAAAATTAAATTACTAGTACATCCTTGACATCTATTTTTTCCTTTAACTATTTTTTCCTGTAACATTATTTACTGTCTATATAAGACTATATTATTTGTATGTGTGTACATAAATATAACTTCTTTGCCAACTTCCCTTTTATTATATGTTTATACAATTTTAAAAAATCATTCTAGTGGTTCAATCTTTGTGCACATCCATGGTCATTTTCTGAAGAAATTATCCTAGATATGCAGCTTCTGAGTTAAATGATATGTATGCATCTAAGACTTGATACTTTCAGCTTAACATTGTACCATACTTCATATTTGAACATTTCAACAATTAAAATCACATAAGTTTTAATAGACTTTAAAAATATTTATTTAGAAAAGTAATAGTCAATTAAAATAATGTAAAATTCAGCTTTACATTACTGTGTCCCACTAGATATTGAGAAGAAGCTTAAGTACATTCAAACAGTTGAAACTACTTGGACATAAAACATGACAACTCTGCACACCTTAAAAATTACCTAAATCATTTGGACAAAAGTGTTTGAAATTTGTTGCTGATAATGTAAATGTTAAAAACGTAGGCAAAAGGCAAACTGAAATTTAGCTCAAACCTTTATATGTGTATTGTTGGTGTTTATAAAGGTATAAAATAATACCATGTAATGCAAGAAGGCTATAACTAATTCATATTGCTTCCTCAGTTAATGTCTTCACATAAAAACTACCCGAGATGTCTATTTTTTGAATAGCAGCTTGAATTTTCAAATATTGTAAGAGTCTCTTGTGTATTGCCATATGTGCATAAAAAATTTCTAAGTCTGTGAAACTTGGAAAAAGCAGCAAATACATATTTTTTTCTATTTTCAATAAATTTATGCAGAGAAGTAGGGTGAATGAATGCCTTTTGGGAAAAGGAAAGCAAAAATATAACTCACCATTTTGTTTGCATGTACAATTTATACATTGAAAGTGCTATTCACTAGCATATAATCTATTATATCTAAGATTACATAAAAAGTTATTTGCCTAAGTAATTAAAAAAGAAAATATAAAAACAATTTATAATTCCAATACTGGGTGCTTAGAATTTTCTTATGATTCAATTAAAAGTTTATATACTACTACTAAAATAGAGAAACGACAAATGCATTTGTTGAGTTATCACTAGAACATGAAGTTAAGATATGTAGAATCACAGCCTGCCTCCTAGAACAACTCTGAGGACAGAATTATTCACCTATTACTTCTCTTACTTGTCATTAGAATCTCTTGTCATTGCAATATCACCTTCCATCTATTTTCTTTACATCTTCCAGGATCATCAATTCATTATATTGGTTATGTTTTAAGTTGACTGCTTTTTAGAATCATCTAAATAACTTGGTCTAAGTAAATTATTTCCAACTCAAAATAATGGGGAGTTTTTCTGAGTCTTATAGACAAACTCTTATTCTGTTTGTTTTAAATTTATTTGCTTGAACCTGCCCTAAATTTTTAGTGTAGGAAGCCCATGATCTAAACCTATTTATTCTAGTCATTGAGGAGAATAGAGGGAGAAAACGAAATGGAAATAATAAATCAGA
This sequence comes from Homo sapiens, assembly GCF_000001405.40. Taxonomy (NCBI): domain Eukaryota; kingdom Metazoa; phylum Chordata; class Mammalia; order Primates; family Hominidae; genus Homo; species Homo sapiens. The sequence continues at coordinate 93,474,631 of NC_000004.12, forward strand.
ACCCTTGGTGGAAGAAATGGCGCATGTACTTGGAGGCGGAGACACCAGGAGGCTTCCTAAATTCTCTGACATATGTCACTCCCTGCCTGGTTTTCTCCCTTCCCTATGATAGCCTGTGATCATATATTGTATTATTTCCCCACTCCTCTATGATATTCACCTTGGGTTAGGAAGCCCAATATTGCTTTTCTAGTCATACCATAAGCCTGTTGTGAAGATTAAATAAGAATACAGTTCTAAAACACTTAAAACAATGCATAATGCCTTAGTAAATACTTAACAAATAGAGGCTTTCATATTTTGTTTCCTGACCTTTGCTTTGTAACCTCCTACTCTCTGATCTTGACCTGAGTTTAATAAGTTTTTTGTTTTGTTTTGCAACTTCACCCTGATCCCCTTCCTCCCTGAGCCTACTTCCTCTTTGTTACATCCATGGTTTTGATTTACTGCTTCAGCCCAGTACAATAACCTTGTTTCCTGATTTTCCTACTGCTCATCAATTCAAGTCCCTAACTCAGTGACTCCAGAGGCTGTAAGTTGAAAGTGTAAGAACTTCCTGGAAAAATTATTTTAACCATTTTTAAATCTCTTATTCAAAAGAATATGTGGAAAAGAAATCAGAATAGAATCAATTTTTCTCTTCAACTCTTTAAAATACTCTCCTAAGAACTTAAGCATAAGAGCTCTGTAAAACTGAAAATTACGGAAGAAAATTCAAAATTAGGAAAGCTGATATTGTTTTGTAAGACTAGATTCATAATGTTAAATGATTCCCTTTTTCTCTATCAAATTATAAATCTAATGTATGCTCAATAAAGTCATTTTAATTTAAAACTAATCTCCAGTGGTGGTTAACAGGTTGCTGGTTTTAAATGACATTTTGGAGGCTTAAAAATGTATTTTAGACTTACTTTTGGCTCTTTTATCATTAAAACTGATTGAAAATGTATTGGCATTCTCTGACCTTTTAGAACTAATGACATACTTATGCATAAGGCCTAGTTTAGTAACCAACCTCAGAAATTCCAAATTAAAAACTTCACTTTGAGATCCATTTCACTTTGATTCCTGTTGACAACTGCTGCTTACCCTTTGAACTTTCATGCTTCTGGGACTGGCAAAATGGGTGCAATTTTCCTCAGAACTACTGATTGATTGAATCTCTGAAAAATGGGGTTGCTAATGGCACTAGAATTTATATAGTGGTTTTATATAGTGGCTTAGGCCTCACTATAATTATTTTAAAACATTAAAAGCTAATGGATCACTACAGAGTGGCAGGTTCTGACTCAACTGCAGTCTTGCTTCATGCTGTTTGACAAACGACTAGTCATCTAGACAATATTTACTGTTTCGGTGCCTTTCCCAGCCCTCATTTCATTGCCAGGTCTGTGGTAAAATCAGTAGGTTAAAAAAAAGTATAAAAAGAAAAGAGAATAATTTTTGAGACCTTCTGGAAAGTAGCATTTGTATATATGTAAAGAATCATACTATATTCCTTATTCAAACCATGCATTGTGTTCTTCTTTTGGTTGGTTGTTTACTTTATTGGTGAGCAAATAGGCAATTGGTATACAATGATGTGTTAAAAGTAGAAAACAAAACACCTACAGTGTAAATCAAGTAATTTAATACACAGAAAATAAATAAAAAATACATGAAATGTTAAATATGGTGGAAGTGAGAAAAACACAGGGATGATATATAAATTGTCTTTTAAAATTGCAGTGTATCCCTCAATCATACTATCTGAAAGCTTTCTGAAGATATTAAGGGATTTGTTTGAATATCTTTCCCTCTTTTCAATTGAATTTCTAAACTTTCAAATGTTTTAATTTTGTAGTATTAGATAGGAAAATGCTTTTTACGATACATTTAAGCCTTTTTCCAGAATCTTAGCCTTACACCCTTATAAAATATCTAGCATATCTAAAGCCAAACCAGGAAAGAAAGAATGAGGCTACTTGGTTTCTCCTTTTTATTTTTTAACAAAACTTCTAAAATATCAAAATGGAACAGATATAAGAGCGTGAATACAAAAGCTGAAGATATTTCTAAATATATGTGTGTGGTTTTGACAAAATGCTACGTAGTAGAAACAATACATGTGATGGGAAGTATTCTGGGAGTCAATAAGTGTTTGGGACATATTCCTCCATTGTTTTTGAAACTTATATCAATGTTCTGAAGATATAGTCTTATTTTTATCATTAACATTTACAAAGGTAGTTTTGACAGATACTGGAAATGAGAACAGAAAAAGAAATAAACAAATACATTTTTGTTGCATATAAAAATAATGGGAAATTTAAGGAAGACATGTGGCAGACTGGCTGTCTTAATCCATTTTGTTTCACTATAAGAAAATATCACAGAGTGGGCATGATATAATAAATGAAATTTATTTTATAGTTCTGGAGGCTGGGAAGTCCAATATCAAGGTGCTGATATCTTGTGAGGGCCTTCATGCTGCATCATCCCATGGTGGAGGGCAGAGGGGCAAGAGAATGTGAGAGAGCCAGAGAACTTTCCAGAAGTAGCCAGAGAACAATAGAAAGCTGAACTCACTTTTGTAAAAACCTGCACTTGTGACAATGAGCCTGCTCCTAAAATAATGATATTAATCTATTCATGAGTGTTCTGCCTGTATAGCCTAATCGCCCCTTAAAGATTACATCTGTTAAGACTATCACAATGACAGTTAAATTTCAGTATGAATGTTCGGAAGGTCATTCAGCCATAGCACTGACCCGTTCTGCTTTGTGCTAAACCTGCTTTGATTATCCATTAATATTGTGAGATGCAAACCTATGAATTAGTGGAAATTTCAATGAACAGCCACAAATACTACCAAGCCTTTCGACCAAAACATTCAATTTCAGATATTTAGAAGCTTGTTTAGAAACACTCTCTTAAAACAGATAAAAGAACTTCTAATTTCAATGTCATTTCAGAATCTATAAAAAAGTAAACTTACCAATTCAAAATGGATTTAGCAGTCCCATAAAAAAGAACTTTGCTAATTAATGTTCTGGAAAATTTATTTGCCTGACCCAATAAAGTTCTTGTATAACAAGCTACTTTCAGTGGATATTAGTGCATTTCATTCATACTATGATCAGACTGTCCAGTAGAACTGAATGCAAAGCAATTAGTGCAATGGAGGAATAAAAGGCTTTATTAAATGAGACCTAGAGATAGAATTTACAGAAAGGGTTTCTAAATGCTATCACTGCCACTATGCTTGGAGACAGGAAAGTTAATCAATTTGCGGTGGGGAATTAATGATAAACATTATGTGTATTACTCACCCATATGTTCTTAACATTGCACTTAAGAGAGTTTATATTTCAATGCAGCACTTACCTCAGTATTTTTTACTGTTACTTAACATACAACTGTGTCAAATTGTAATGTAGCCCACCTTACAAACTGGAAACCTGAAATCTGTGATTGATGTTCAATGGGCTCTTTTTTTCCCTAGCTCTTTAGAAACAGTGGGAATTTTATACAGGCTAGAGTAACAAAAACATTGTGAAAGTAAGAAACTGCCAAGTAATATGTTTTTGTGTAATAAAATTCAATTTAGTTCTAATATGAGTTATAGCAATTGGCACTTAAAAGTTAAGTTAAAATCAGCATGTAAGGTTTATGTGTGGTAACCAGCACCCGTTTAATTTGATTTTAATTTTTAATTTAGCATTTTTCATATCTGCTCATCAGAAATATTTTATGGTATTGGGTCTGGTAAAATAAACTTAACTGCTGGTATTAAGTCTGAAGTTTCAAAAATTATAAAGATCGTCTCCTTCTGTAGGAAGTTCTAATTTGAAATAACATATTTTTATTTGCTCAGAACATTCTTATTTTAAGTAAATATGTATAGATGGCATTTGTATGTATAAAAGAATTCTATTAATTTTAATAGATTAAATATGATAAAATATTAAATTATATAATTAACTACATAACATAAAATTAACTAACTACATATTAAATTAACATTATGTTAATGTTAAGTATAAACATTTTATATTTTAACTGTTAACATTAAAATATATTAAAAACTGAAACGCATTATTCAACCAACATGGAACTCTTCAAACTAGAAAAGCACAAATAATATAAAAGTGGTGGAAAGAAGGAACTGCTATTTATAAGCTTTACAAGTATCATAATGCCTATGACATGTAAATATTAAGTCAGAGAAGTCTACAGGAAATTTTCATTTCAATTACATGATCTAATGTCTTGTAGCCTTCTTTTGCTTATTTGCAAATAGACCTATAGCCAGTCCATAACAATATTTAGTCATTTAAAACCAACTGAAATAACAATTATATTAGTCAGATTATCAAGAGAGACAGACCCAATAGGATACATAGAGGCGTGCATTGAGGATATTGCAGGTTCAGTTTTTGCCACCACAGTAAAGCAAATATCCCAAGAAAGTGAGTCACACAATTTTTTTTAATTTTCCAGTGCATATAAAAGTTAGGTTTACACTATACTGTATTCTTTTAAGTGTCCAATAGCATTATACCTAAAAAGCAATATACATACCTTCATTTTAAAAATACTTTATTGCTAAAAAATGCTGATGGAGAGACATGAAGTAAGCATGTACTGCTGGAAAAATGGTGCTTTGCAACACGGGGTTACCACAAAGCCTCAATTTGTAAAAATAAGTTTGTAAAAAAATGTGTGAAGTGCAATAAAGTGAAATTCAATAAAATGAGGTATGCCTATATATAGATAGATAGAGATGTAGATATAGATATTTGAGTGGGGATTTATTAGAGAAATTGGCTCACATGATTATGGAGGCTGAGAATTCTCATGACAGGCTGTCTGCAACCTAGAGATTCTGAAACACTAAGAAAAGCCTCAAAACCAGGGAAGCTGATGATGTAATTCTCAGTCCCAGGCCAAAGGCCTGAGAACCTGGGAGTGGGGATGGGGCGGGGAACTAGCATAAGTCCTGGAGTCCCTAGGCCAGAAAACCAGGGATCCTGATGTCCAGGGGCAGGGGAAAAACTGTGTTTTAGCTCCAGGAGACATAGAGAGAAGAAATCCTTTTCTCTCCTTTTTTGTTCTATCTGGGCCGCCAGCTAACTGGATGGTACCCACCTACATTGAAGGTGAATCTTCCTCACTCAGTCCACTGAGTCACACACCAGTCTTCTCTGGAAGCCCCCACTGATACAGCCAGAAGTAACGTTTTACCAGTTGTCTGTTCCTGAATCCAGTTGACACCTAAAATGAGCCATAGCAAAAATAGAGAAATGACATTACCTATCACTATTTTTTCAATAAATCATGTTATAAAATGTGCTTGAAAATTCTCTTTACTTGTATAAGATATAAAAAACTAACTTCATTCACAAAATAGCTTTTCTTCATGGATTCTGTCAAAAGAAAATAAGTCAAAATATTTAAAACATTACATGTTTGAAGATGTTTATAGCAATGTAATATGTGATAGAATAAAAATCTCCAACTTTTCTAAACTAGGAGAATACTTAAATAAGCTATAGTAGAACTGACTGAGCAATATCATTCAGCCATTGAAGATGTAGTAAATAGGATACAAAATTGTATGTTTGACCTGACCATTACTACTGAAAAATCACATTAAAAATGCCAAAAAAGGACATATCAAAAAATGCTACCTTGACCCCTTCTTCAGTATTGGGCTTCTGAATATATACACTGGGTTAGTTCTGGGAACTAGATAAGAGGTTCCAAATTCCCACTCAGCAATTGAGGCTAGATTTCTGCCTTCAGATGTGGAATTTTTCTATCCATACATATCAAGAAGCACCTTAATGGTTTATAAAGTATAACCTGTAATTAATAGATTGTATATTATGTAAATTATGTAAATAGAGGCACCTATTTTATTTTTAGGGTCACTGTGATCAATAAGCTATTACTATAGTTCTCTGAAGATAATACACTTCAATTATCACTGAGAAACAGCCATGACTCACTGTGGTAATTTTACCTCATCTCTTATAGTTAGTCATCCACACCACGCCTTTACCTGGGATACTGCTTTCATTTTGGATCAAGAAATGCAATTTATTGCAGGATTCCCCAGTGTTATCTGAGACTTCAGAGGAGAAGCACACAGAACTCTTCAGAGATACTTGTGTTCTGCCCCCTTCCATGCATTTTTTAATGTCTTTGTGTAGGGATTGGCCTTCTCATGTAAGAGAGGTGACCAAGTTTCTTGGAACAGATTCATTCCAACATTCCCACCTCCCTGAATCTCTACAGTAGGCCAGGGAGGTTGTATATAGGTTATTTTCAAATTTCATGCATTTTTGGTTCATTCTTTAATTAGCCAATCTAATGAATTACTACCACCCCCTGCCCAAGTATCAAGTCAGCACATTAAATCCCAAATCTGAAATCTTACCACCCATGACAATATATTTGCCCTAATAGATACTTAATGTCATACTATTTGGTGTAAACTTTTATAAGTGGGCTTTATACTTCTTTGACTCAATTATTTTGGGACCTAATTTGTAGCATGGAGTCAATAAGGAGTAACGTGGTGAGTCCAGAAGAGATCCGTGAAATTTCCTATGTCAAGTTATTGAAAAGCATTTGTGCAGAAGAAGGCTGATTCCCTCAGAAGTGGTGAGAGGTTGCTTCCAATAACAAGAAGGTTCAGAAGAATTTGAAAGTTCAAATTTCTTATCAATGCATGAGATATCTTATATGGCAGAAGATTTAATCAGCAATTAAGCTGTGCTACAGTCAAGCCTTAATCTTGTCCTCAGCAGTATCTACCCTAAAACTACAGGATAAAGAGAGTTCTTCAAAACTGCCATCAAGATATTAAAATTTTACCTTATTTCTGAGCTAGGCATTCATGGCCTTAAGTTTCTCATTTGCACTCTGTATTCATTCGGAGACTTCAGAGCAGTTAGCTGGAACCATAATCTTCAAAATCACTATTATTGCCATGGCCTTGCATTCCACCTGCACTTCATTCCATGCCAACTCTGGTGGTTATTTAAACAATTGTAATGTAACCACAGGCTGTAAATTGTCACAGTTCCATTTCCCATCAATATGTGCTACAGAGATATGGGAGCAATCCAATCTCAGAATCTCATTTTTATGGTTCTGTTTCAATTACTAAATTTAAGAAGGAAGTGTTTCTAGGAGGGTGGAGAGGGACAGCAAAAATGAGCAGGGTCAGTGCATCTTAGATCCCAGAGGGATTGCAGGCTTGATGGAGGGAGGAAGGTCAAAAGATTGAAGATGGCATAGGAGATTGGAATGCTTGAAATTCAGATTACAGAAGGGTTTATATTATTCTTAATAATGGTAATATTCACTAATGCAACTTAAAAGGAATGTCATTGCATTCAATAGAAAATAACTATAAAATACATTTAATGTAAATGAAACATTGAATACAAATTAGTTCCATTGAATGCCAAAAGGAGTTTGAGATTTGAATTTTCTTTGTAAAAGTAAAATCAAAATTTCAGAACCTTATTATCTGAGGCTTTGTTCTTACCATGATATTACTGGGTATATACCCAAAGGATTATAAATCATTTTACTATAAAGACACATACACATATGGTTATCGCAGCACTATTCACAATAGCAAAGACTTGAAACCAACCCAAATGCCCATCAATGATAGACTGGATAAAGAAAATGTGGCACATTTATACCATGAAATACTATGCAGCCTTAGAAAAGAATGAGTTCATGTCCTTTGCAAGGACATGGATGAAACTGGAAAACATCATTCTCAGAAAACTAACACAGGAACAGAAAACCAAACACCACATGTTCTCACTCATAAGTGGGAGTTGAAGAATGAGAACACATGGACACGGAGGGAAACATCACACAGCGGGGCGTGTCGAGGGTTGTGGGGCAAGGGAAGGGAGAGCATTAGGACATATACCTAATGGATGAGGGGCTTAAAACCTAAATGACGGGTTGATGTTTACAGCAAACCACCATAGCACATGTATACCTATGTAACAAACCTGCACATTCTGCACGTGTATCCCAGAACTTAAAGTATAATAAATAAATAAATAAATAAATTCTAAAAGGTAATTGTAAATGGAACAACTTACTCACTGTAACATGATGTGATTTTTGTGCTCTCTCTCCCTACCACAAAAAGCCATCTCTTATACCCATGATAGACATGTCATGTTGTAGAAAATCTACCCTAGCTTGCAAATGGGTTCAATATAGTGAACCCATTATCCTGTGGACAACAGGAAACCGCACTTGTATCTCTTGTTCACTTCCTTATTACCCCCACATCTTCTGTCAAAAAAATAAAACACTTACAGATCTGGTCACAGTATCTCTCAATTTGACTATCAATAAACTTTAAGCAATACTTATATAAAGGTGACTGGCATAAATGAAGCATTTCAGAGATGATATATACATTATCTCCTCCTATCTTTAAATGTAGAATATGCTTATGCTGGCAATGACTTCCACACAAATTCCAACAATATCATCTTTCTTTGTTTTTCTACATTGTGATTCTGTAAGTGTAAAACACGCTAATATTTATTTACATTTTAATTGATCAGCTTACATGAACTATTCAGTCAGCTTGAATAATGAAAATTTTCTATTTACTATGAGTTTTTAGCCATTTTGTTAGTAACCTGTTTCCAATAAAGATCCAACTCTTGAAAAAGGAATGTTTATTTTTTTAAAAAAGGTATTAGTTTTCTCCCATTTTTTTCTAATTATAATTTATAAAATAATCCCACCATTCCAGATTACAAATTAAAAATGTTGTGAGTGTTTAAACCTATAAGAAGTGGATTTACCAAACAACCAAATTGGAGACTCTTCAACAATTAATTGCTTTTTCATATTTCATGGAAACACAAAGATGCATATATACTCACACAGAATAAGACTTAGAATAACAAATTTTTGCCTGACTCAGATGGATTTATCAAATTTCCCAAACTTGCCTGAAGAAATTGCTTATTTTTAACAACTTTTTTAAGTAAGCTAATGTATACAGTAGCAAGGTTAATGTAGTTTTTCATGTGGTAAAACAATCACATCAAAATGAAAATCTGGTCAAGAGGATTTTCCTTAAAACAGAGGGGTCCTTTGGAAAATAAAAATTTTTCATGCTTTAGCAGAGCACTTTAAACTTATCAAGGGCTATAGGAATCCAAATACCCAACTTCAGAGTCAGACCTTTGCACACTCTGAAGTGTCATGAAGTATCAGCCTAATTTTTGCAATACTTTTTTAGCAAGGTGAGATTATGTTTTTTTTTTAATTTGGCACATAATTATTTTGTCCTTTACCTAATTCTCTCTTCTGGCATCCTGACTCTATGAAAATGCATATTTTTTTTCTAATTGTGGATAAAAAAAGGAGAAAGAAAACAAATATCATTATTAAATTCACTATTCTCTCTCCTTATTTTCTTCTTTTATTTAGTTTTTAATTGTGAAGTATTATTTGCCTACAGAAAAGTACGTAACATATTGTGCAGCTCAATGAATTACCAGCAATGGTCCACCTGTATAATTGCCACCTAGGAAAAGATAGAACATTACCAGTGACCCAGCCCCCATTTCCTTTTCCTCAATCATTTTTCACTCTTCCCAAAGGTAACCATCCATGGGATCATCAACACTGCCATTCATGTTGCTTGCTTGTGAACAATTATTATACAGTGTGAATTATTTTACCCAACATTAGGTTCATAAAACCCATTAATGGTGTTGTTTATAAGTGAGATTTGCTTGTTTTCATTGTTGTGCAATATTTTATTGTTTGTGTTCAAAAAAAAACTTTAGATGAATGAAATTTAACAGAGTTGAATTGAGCAAAGAGCCATTCAGGAATTGAGGAGCCCCTCAAACCAGATAGGTTCAGAGCAACTGGGGGGCTGCCACAAGATTAGATAATATTTATGGACAGAAAGAAGAAAGTGACATACAGAAAATGGAAGTGAAGTACAGAAACAGCTGGATTGATTACAGCTCCACATTTGCCTTATTTGAACACAGTTTGAACAGTTGGTCACCTATAGTTGGCTGAAACTCTGTGATTGGTACAAGAGTAGGTTACAGTCTGTTTGTACATCCAGTTAGGTCACAGTTCACTACGCATGAAGAAACCTTGAGGCCAAACTTAAAATATGTAAGGAGGTATCCAGTCTACTCTCAAAGTATGTTTGGGCTGTTTCCAGTTTAGACTATTATGACAATGCTTCTACAAACATTTCTGTCTCTTGGTATGTACATTCATCTAGTGGGTATGTACCTAATGGGGGAAATTTCTGTATTCTAAGATATGCATACGTTAGTTTTCAGAGATCATTTATCAGAATGATTGACTGAACCAATTTGCAATCCCAACAACAGGGTACAAGCATTCTGATAGTCCCATGTCCTTGCCAACACTTGCTATTGTAAATCTTTTTATTTTAATCATTCTGGTGGCTGTGGAGTGGTATTTTTTTATTTTGTATTTCCCCAGTAGTTAATAAGATTGCTACCTTTTCATATATTTATTGGCCATTGGTTATCTTCTTTTATGAAACCACCTATCCATTTTTCTGATTGTTGTCTCATTTATTCTTATAGATTTATAGGAGTTAATATTTATTGATGATTTTTTGTTAGGTATATGTATTATAAATATCTTCTACTGTGGCTTGTCTTTTCACTCTCTTTATGGTATCTTTTTAACTATGAAGTATTATTGCAGTCAAATTATCAATCTTTTCTTTTGTGTTAATGCATTTTATGCTGTGTTTAATAAATCCTTTTCTACCCAAACTTGTGGATATATTCTCCTATATAGTTTTCTAGAAGCTTTATTGTTTACCTTTTATATTTATATCTATAGGCTGCATGGTATTAATTTCTGTGTATAGTATGAGTTAAGAGACAAGTTTCATTATTTTTCATACATATATCTAATTAACCTAGAACTACTTAATGAAAAGACCTCCCTTTCTCTATAGTACATACTTTAGTGCCAGCTGGGTATAAATCAAGTGCCTATGTATGCATGGACAACTTTCATTTATTTATTTGGTTTATCCTTGTACAACTAACCAACTGTCTTAATTACTATATTAATCTATAGTCATCAAGAGCCAGTTTTTTTCTTCTTCCTGAAGAGTATCTTGGCAATTTTTGTACTTTTGCAACTTCATATAAACTTTACATTCAGCTTCAAGCACATTTACTTGTGCACACACACATACACACAACCTGGGATTTTTAATTGGGAATTCACTGACTGAATCTATAGATCAATTTGAGGAGAACTTATATCTTTACAGTATTAAGTCTCTCAATCAATGAACATGCTATATCTTCATTTATTGAATCTTCCTTTATTTTACTCAAAAATAGTTTTATAGTTTTTCATGTAGAGGTCTCTCATATCTTTAAATGAGTTTGTTCCTAGTTATTTGATCATTTAATGCTATTGCAAATGATATGTTTTTTAATTCTATGTTGTCAGTGTTGCTGTTATATATAAATAAAATCTTTTTTTGAACACTGATTCTGTAACATAGCAAGCTGATAACTAATTTATTAATTTTAGTAATTTATCCTTTGTTCTCTTAGATTTTCTACATACATATTCATATCATCACTAATCCGTAACTTTTGTTTCATTCTTTCCAATTCCTAAATACTTTTTTCTGATTTTTTTTCTTGGACTACAGAGTCTAGCACAACTCCAATTCAATGCTGAATAGAAATGTTAGCAATTTGTGTCCTTTAAGACAGTCAAAAATTTTTATTTTATTAGTATGTATGATACTTGATATAGATTTTCTTAAAGTACTCTTTATAAAAATAATGAACACTTTTTAAAGTTTCCAATTTGCTGGTTATTTCTAGGTTTGTTTTGGTTTTGTTTTTCTAAGACTGGATGTTGAACTTTATCTGTACCTTTTCTTCATCTGCCAAGATCATATAATTTTTCTCTTTTGGTCCTAAAGTAGCGAATTACAATGATTGATTTTTGAATGCCAAACCAATCTTGCTGTCCTATAATAAACCCTATCTGTTTATTTATGCAGTTCTCCGTTTGCTAATTTATTTACCTTTTGAATCTACAATCATGTGAAAGATTGGCCTATAATTGCCTTTTATTGGAATAACTTTGTCAGGTTTTGTTATCAAAGTTGTGCTTTCTTTATAAAATGGATTGAATAGTGTCTTGCTTTTTTCTAACTTCATGAAGAATTTGTGTACAATTAAAATTAATTACTCCCTCATATATTTGGTAGATTTTGTTAGTAAGACCACTGGCCTTACATTTTGTGGTGCGTAGGTTTTAATTCCGGATTTGAAATCTTTGATAGTTACAAAACCATTCAAATTTTCTATTTCTTTGGGGAGGAACTTTTTTAGGAACTTGTCCATATCATCTTAATTTTCAAATTTATTGGCATAAATTTGTACATAAGTTATCCTTCTATTATCTGTAACATCTGTAACAATGTACTTTTAAAATTCCTGTTACATTTTTGTGTCTTCACTTATTTTCCTTGTAAGTTTCAACAGCTTATTTTGGTCTTTTTAAAGAACCAAACTTCTGTCAGATCAACCTTTTAATTGCATTTCTTATCTATTTTGTTAATTTTTGCTCTTAATTATTTTCTTCCTTGTACTTGTTCACATTTAACTTGCTGATTTTTTTCAACTTCTTTAAATTGATGAGTAACTCAGAATACTTTTCTTATACATTGCAGGCTATCAGTTTCCTTCAATACAATTTAGCTGCATCCCATCTACTTTCAAAACTTGTGAAATTTTGATATGGAGTATTTTTATTATCATCCTATTCAAAGTACTTTTCATTTCTCTGGTGATTTTCTTTGACCCATGACTTCATTTATGCTCATTTGGGGATTTTCTTGTTGTCTCAGTCCCACCCTCATTTGGCAAGCCCTGGACCCCAGTTTTATTACCACCTAACCATTGAATACTTTTAAAGTGTTCCTCAGTTTGTTAGTTTCTTAGCTTTCTTTTTTTAAATTGGTATATGCCCCTCAGGGAAAACCATTTCCAAATATGAAGCTATCTTTCTGGGTTATTTTCTTCTCCAGGACTCTGGGCCTATAAATTTTTACTGCCTCTTTAGCTCTGAAAACACATTATGTATTCAATTTTTCTAGTTGTTGTCAGTGGGAGGATTGTTCTGAATGGCTTCATCCACCAACCATTACCAACCATTACCAAAATTGGAAGTCAAGATTCCCATTACTTTTAATATTTGATTCCTAAATGTAATTATCAAATAACATTTTATTTGCATTCTACAAGAATATTTGAGTTCCTTGAGTTGCAATTTTTATAACAAAGATTAAAAAACTCAAGTATGCTTTTATGTGGGTGATAACAACTCTAATCAAGGCTAAAACTTTAATAGAAATGAATGCCCAATTAGCATTTTCATTCATAAATTTATTGTTCTAATTTTGTTATACATATTAACATCTTTTAGTCTTTGGCTATCATCTTGTTCACATTTTATTATTATTTTTTCAATTAGCTATTTTGACCAGAAAATCCTCATATGGATGTAAAAATAAATATTTTATTTTGCTTTTACCTTTCAAAAGCTGGGCAAATAATTATTTTGCTTTTAAGAAGAAGGTATCTAAAATGCATTGTAACTTATTTTGAAAAATGGGTTCCAGATATCAGAGGTTAGCCTGTTCTGAATATAATACATCAGGGGAATAGCTTAGAATATAACCAAAGGGTGTACTTACCCCACGTATAAAATTTAGACATATTACGTAGTGGGAACTCGTGGTTGTAATTAAAATATGCCTGATATTATAGTAAATCGAATCCTGTTAAGTCATTCACGTATTGATAGAACTACATGAAAGTAGTATTGTATCTCTTTATTTCCACCGTGAGTATAAAACTAACTTCTTTTAGAAGGCCTATTAATAGTTCACATATAGCATGTATTAGTCTAATAATATTGCCATAAAAAATAACACAGACTCGGTGGCTTAACAATGGAAATTTATTTCCTCAAAGGTCTAGAGGCTGGAAGTCCAAGATCAAGGTGTCAGCCAGTTTGGTGCCTCCTGAGGCCTCTCCCCTTGGCTTGCAGATGGTCACCTTCTTGCTGTGTCCTCACATGGCCTTTCTTCCATGCATGTGCATCCCTGGTGTCTCTTCCTTTTCTGATAAGGACACCAGTCATATCGGATTAGAATCCATGCTTACAATCTCACTATACCTTGATTACTTAGTTAAAGGTCCTATCTCCAAATAACAATCACATTGTGGGTTAGAATTTCAGGACATGAATTTGAGAGAGAAATAATTTAGTCCATAACACAGCACATATTCATTCAAAAAAACATTACCCACTTAATATGGGACAAGGACTGTTCCTATATCAAAAATTATAAAGGACGGAAATAAACAAAAATGTTTAAAGCCTAATACATTGTTATTTTTAAAAAGATAAAGGAATTGGCAGTATAGGGTTGTGGGGAGTTATTTTAGATAGAGTGGTGATAAAAGATTGTTATAAAAAGATATCCTCTGAGCAGAAACCTGAAAAAATTGAAGGAAGACGGAATTTATGAATTATAGAGGAGAAAATTTTAGGCATAACCATTTGCAAATGCAAGGGCCCTGGGACATATATCGGCATGGCTCTATAGAGGAAATTTCAAGAAAGCCATTGAGAGAATGGTAAGAAATAAAGTCAGACAATTGACCTAAGATCAGTATACATAGAGTCTTGTAAACCTTGGTAGAGATTTTTATTTTATTTTTTAAAGAGTCCTGGGAAGCCACTGGAAGCTTTGATAGGGGAATCCCATTGATCTGATTTTCGTTTATAAAGGCACCATGGTAATAGACTTAGGAGAGGTACTCTCTAGAATGTAAGTAAATGGGGAAACCACATAAGTAGTTCAGTAGTAGAGTCAAAGATGTCATCTTTGAATTGGGTGTCAGCAGTAGACAGGATGAGATGAGGTAGGATTTGGGATGTAATTTGAATGTAATGGTGACAGGACTTGCTATTGAAGAAGATGTTTGAAAATTCCTATTTTTGGTCTAAGAAATAAAGTAAATAGTGGTGCTATTCCCTGACATGGTGTGGACTGGCTTGAAGGAGAGTTAATTTGGGAGTAAAATAAAATGAGTTCTGTTTTAGATGTCATAAGTTAGAGATGCATATTGAATTGCAAGTGAGAATCATGTAGGCTTTTATCTATAGCTCTCTAGAAAGAGTCAAGGTAGGGGGCTAGAAATGTAAATTCTAGTGTTATCAAAGTATACTGTAGATCATAGTCAAAGTCAGGGGACTCGTTGATATTGTCCATGGTGAGACTATGGACAGAGAAGAGAAGCAGTCTAAGGACTGAGCCCAAGAACACTCCAACATTTAAAAGATGGAGAAGAGGATTCTGCAACAAGATTGTAAGAGTAGGAAGTCAATTAAAAGTAGAACAAAGCAAGTATGTGATGCTGAAGCCAACACTAATATGTGTGATCCCATGATCATTAACAAGCTATGTTTCTAGAGAATATAACAAAAAATAATCCTTTCAATATTATTTATTTAACTGGAAATCTGAAAATTTGTATTAAATATAGGCATAGCAATATTAATGTCACCTAACTAATGAATAATCAAGCCCTTGGAAAGAAAGCATATACCTGTGATTATAATAAAAGGTAATTAATTATAGGGTTGAACAGGAAGGGGGAAGAACTATCATTTAAACATGTTATACTAAATATTTATCATGCTTCTTTTGGCTGGGTCTTTCATAATCTCATAAAAGAGAATTAAATATGGAGTGATGAAAATATAGAGATCTATGTTGATGTTAAGCAGAAAAAATTCTCACTACTTGCAAGTTAATTTGGTGTTGAATATAGATGACTTCAGATCCTCAATAAATACTAGTTGATGTTCTTTTTATCTCTTTGCTTCTTTCTACAGGCGGGGAAGTCCCGTACACGACTCTGGCTACCCGAATGATGATGGGGGCTTGGTGGCTATTTGCTTTGATTGTTATCTCATCTTACACGGCAAACCTCGCTGCTTTCCTCACTATTACACGCATTGAAAGTTCCATCCAGTAAGTAAACAATGTTTCCATTAGCCACAAAATATGAGAAATGATAAGAGTGGCCAAAGCTATCTGAGAATAAGTATGTGGTGTCTCATAATAAATGTACAACTTCTCTTTGAGTAAAGGATCAATTTTGTGTTACTGCAAAGTATCACTGATTAGTCCAAGTCCTGGAAATGCAGTATTGGTAGAGCATTTTTTATAAAGTAAAAATTTGGCTATGATTTCAATGTTGCTTCCCACATTTTCCTGGAAGGATAACACATCTTCAGAATTTTAGTGTCCACAAAGAATGACTATATCTGACTAACACTGTGAAAAGGAAGAAAAAAAAGAGTCATACTTAAAAGGAAATCTTTGCCTTGAGTCTGTCCCATTATGTACTGTCAGAATAAATAGTTGAATAGATACAGATGTTTGAGAGATAGACGGATGATTGGGGATTGGGGAGAAAAGAAAAGGGAGGGGAATAGCAATCAACAGAAAATTATAGTATTTCAGTAACCACATTCTGTTTTTCTCTTCATTACCTTATACTTCATGTGGTCCTTATTGCTGCTATTTACTGGTTGCAGTTGGAATGCTGGGAAATAGTGATTAACTATGGTGCACTTATTTAATCCTAAAAGTTACCTAAGCCAGTGTCTCAATTCACAAATGCCATTTCCGTAAGCCCGTGGAGCCCAAGGGCCTTTTATCCACCACAGCCAGTTTTGCTTTTGTGGTTTCATGCTATAAGATCAACACCACAGTATAATTTCTGCCTTATTAGAACATAATGTTCTATATATTGTTTTAAGAAAAATTTTCCTGAAAATGTTTTATTCATCCCCAAACAAGGTAAGTTTGAATTTTCCTAAAGTTGGACATTCATTTCCCAAAAAGCTGACAATTCAAATTCAGAATAATTAGATATGTCAGGGAATTCCTTAGGAATGTAACTTGTTTGGAAAAGAAAATCTGGGTAGTTATTTTCTTTTAAAAAGAATGTAAATTAAATTCATTAGTAGCCACAAAACTATTATAGCATAATACCAAAAAAGTTAAGAATTAATTATCTATAAATAAATAGGGTATTATTTTCTATTTGCTCATTATACAAATTGAAACTCCCATATTCAACTAGTAATGCTAATAAGTAGTCAATTATTTTATCCATTCATAAAATTGATGTTTCTAGTTTCTCTCATGAAATCATGCTGCTCAAGTTGTTTTCCAATTATTCCTTTGATACAGAACCTTCATATTCCCCCAATTTATTGTCCATGTAAATAGATCTATGTGTGACATAAATTACAAATCATACAGAGTGAAACTTATACCATTGATGGAAAGCTTATACTGGTGACCCCATAAGCATCATACTTTAAGCAATATGAAAATGATTACAACAGCCCAGCCAAAAGATCAATGAAATGAGTAAAATTATGAAAATAATAATAAACATTTATTGATCACTTACAAAAAGCCAGATTTTGTGATGCATTAGCTTATTTAAAACTTACTATCATCTTCAAAAATACATACTATGAATAACTCATTTTATAAATGACAAAACTAAAGTTGAGAGGATAAGTAACTCACCCAAAGCCTGCAGCTAGTAAGTGACTGAGTAAAGACCAAATCTTAAATCTGGTTCCTGAGCCTACATTCTAACTGCATCATGTTAGTTCCCACACCACACTTGAACTTGAATTTCTGTATGAATCTTAGGTTTTAGAGAACACAAGAAGAAACTCGTCATAGCATTTTCCATTGCTAAGGGATGTAAAGGATGAAATTCTCCAAATCCTCAACTGGTCTGAGGAAATAGAGTATCAAAAGTTAGGTGACTTTTGTGTTATAGGCATGTAGGCA
The DNA here is from genome assembly GCF_000001405.40 of Homo sapiens. Taxonomy (NCBI): domain Eukaryota; kingdom Metazoa; phylum Chordata; class Mammalia; order Primates; family Hominidae; genus Homo; species Homo sapiens. The sequence goes on from NC_000004.12 coordinate 93,492,629, forward strand.
TATATCCCAACATGAGTTAATTATGTCTATAATTGGTATCTACCATTCAGGGTAAGACTTTGGCAAATCCAATCAATAGAAGTCATTTTAAGAAAAATAGCTTAATTGTCAAATAAAAATTGTACATATTTAAGTTATACAATGTGATGATTCAATATACATATACATTGTGAAATAATTGACACAATCAAATGCACCACCCATGCTGTGCATTAGATTCCCACAACTGGTTCATCTTCTGAAAGTTCGTACCCTTTGACCGACATCTCCACATTTTCCCTATACTCTAGCCCCTGGCAACCACCATTCTACTCCTGCTTCTACGAGTTTGACTTTTCTAGATTCTACATATAAGTGATATCATATAATATTTGTCTTTCTGTGTTTGGCTTATTTCACCTAGTGTAATATCCTCCAAGTTCATCCATGTTGTTGCAAATGGCAAATAGCAAAACAGTTTTTAATCAATAAAATTGAGTATTTTATTTCATTAACATATTTCTTATCAATTATGTTGAATGTGTCACATTTTGGGTATCCTTAAAGCTCAAAATTTATGTAGTTCACATCTGACTTTGAAGTGTTTTTAAATAAATAAATCGTAAAAAGTTTAAATAAAATAACTGATCCTATGCAGTAAACAACAACTGTCATTATAGTAAACAAAAAATCATGGTTAACATTGACTGAGAATTTATAATGAACCAGAAGTTAAGCATATTACAAATATCATCTCATTTATTCCACAAAATAACCTTAATAATACAAGTACTCTTCTTATTGCCATTTTATGGATGAAGAAACAGAGTTTGGAAGATAATGCTTAAGATTACACACTCAATAAGTGTCAGAGTTGAGAGTCCAATCCATGTCAATCAGACACCAATCCGTGGCCTTACCTGTCAAATTCTTTTTTTTTTCTTTTTTTTAATCTAGTGGTGGGTCCTAGAATTTGTTTGCTTGATATGGTATTTCTCTGAGGTTGCAGACTTTGTGGTGTCTGTAAATCTGAGTTATTTAGTTATTACTAACTTTGCCAGCACCAGTTTTTATCTAGACTTTCATGCAATAGCAGTGGGAGGAGAAGCCTGTCTCAAATTTTTCATCCATAGGTTTATCTAAAAGTAAAACCTGATGGAAAAAGATTGTAATTTCACATCATGTTTCCCTCAAGTGTAGTTCTACTGCCCAAAGTAACTTTGCATTCATTTTTTTAAAAAATCATTCCTTTCCAATGCCAACTGGCATTATTAAAAGTCATCAGTGGGTATAATAAATCTCTACTTCCTTGTAATATTATCACTGGACTAATTTTGGAATGAGAGAATCAGAGCCAAATAAGTTAAAAGAAGCCAGATTCCCTCCCGAAATTTAAAGATATCTTCTAATTTCATGCCTCAACAGTGTTGGTAAACATAATTGCCTGCAGTGTTTCTTAGAAACATTCAAAATCTCATTTGTAACTAATGCCAAAGTTTCTTGGGAAAATTCTAATTTTTCTTAGAAAAGACAAACTTTTTTTCAAAGTAGCATTCAATGTCATGCTTCTTAATCATTTATATTAATAAGATTTGCTCATCACCAAATGAAGCTGCAGTGCATGTCAATGTACTATTTCCAGCCCAATTTTGCTGTGCCATTGGCAAACACATGCCAACCATAGCTTCATTTCCAAAATTCAGCGTTGCTTCTGCAGACTACAATGGGCAGAGGTGGTTAGAGGAATGTCAGTGAAGGGGAGAGAGAGAGAGAGGGAGAGAAATCAGCTTCTTTGAATTGATGGTTGACAGAAACTCTTCCACTTTGCTGGGAGCAATCTAATAGATTTATTTTGGGGAAGCTGAATAATTTCATAAAATTTTACCTTGTTTTTAAAATTAGATATCTATGGGCATCTAATCTAACTGGCACTTGTTATTAATAAAAGTTTTGAAAGGGAATTTTCCCTGGAAAAGATAACCCATAAATTTAATTTCATATCCCTTCAGTGATATGGGCAGCACATCATAACTATGTCCTATGTTTAATATAATATAATGAGACAGAGTATGACACAGTTCAGTTCTTAAAGGGAAAAAAAATGCCATTTCCACAAGACTCTAATGACAATTTGGGCTTTTTCATTCCCATTGAGAGGTAACAACATATAGTTAATTGTTTTCAAACACCTAGAAATTGGAATGATTTTTTTTCTCTTGATAACTAGACTAATAGTGGCAATGGTGAAATGGAGCATGTGAAGCTTTGAAGGTACTTCAGAGTAAGCACTGGATAATAGCATCATCAACATTAGTTCTGTTTGCCTTTATTGTGATATTACTTCCAAAAGCTACCTAGTTCACATAAAAGTGAAAATAGCTATGGGAAAATCAGGGTTACACAGTTATAGTTATTAATAACTTTAGAATCAAACTGGTCTTTGGTGATGAAACTTGAGTTTTTTCATTCCCAGGAGCTGCAAGTAAACTTGGACCTACTCAAAGGGATCCCAACATCCCACCATATTTTTGTGTTCAGTGCTTTCATTCTCCATAATGCTTAAGGTTGGACTAAACAAAATATTGAGTTAATTCTGCCACTGAATCTAACTAATATGGGATAGCATTGCTTTCCAAACTGATACAGAAAGAGATCCATAAATATTCTATTACTAAAGAAGAACCCCTTTTCCCTAGCATATCAATAACAGGATTTTTGCCATCACCTTGGTCTACATTTTGAAAAGAAAATAATTATTGAGCAATTTTTTTCTAAGTGTTCACAGGTGAGTATGATCTAATTATGCTTAGAAATTCAAGCATCACCAAATCTGGTACTAAAGCCTGGAGACAGAGGGAAGGATAGCAAGTGACAGATGCTCTGTAAAGAAAAGGAAAGTGGGACTAAATCATCGAGGGCATGGTAAGACTTGTTAAGGAATTTGGAATTTTTCCTGGAGGTAATGGAGAGTGACGTTGTAGAAAGACAACTTTATCTCTGGAGAGGAGGACATGTGGGAGAGAGAAAATGTAGGCATGCATGGGAGGCCGTTAAAGGTGTCTAATGCATGTATATTTACAGCAATTAACTAGTATGTCTCTACTTGATACGAATATGTCTCTACTTTTTTCAAGGGCTACTTAATTTGATAATACTAGAGGATTAAGGGTAACTTAGAAATTTGGCTTCAGAAACTTCATATTTCTAGGCTAATATTTACTTATGTAGTGGATGTAAGAATATTGCCTCAGTTAATTTTGTTTAAGATATTTAAAGAGAGGATGTGGCTTACTATGTTTTAGCTAACTAAGTAAAAAGGAAGACAGTGATTAATGAGGAAATTCTGGAAATGACTCTGTTTAGGCTGCGTTTCACATGCAATTTTGCAGAAAAGTTGCATCTCAAGGTCTACTATTCGTGGGCCCCATCTGCCTCTCACTTTTAGCTTTGAGCCATCAACAAAGAAGTTAGACTTATTTTTATTCCATTTGAATGCATTTTTTTCCTGATTGTAAAAAAAAAAAAAAACAGGCTGTTTTGAGAAAATAGGAAAGTACAAAAAGATGTCGAAGGACAAAGCATTAATAATCCATAAACTGTCATGGGGCAGTAAGTTCTGTTAATATTTGGACAAACTTTCTTATAACTTTTAATTTTGCAATTATTATATATACACAGGAAGTTTCAAAGATATAGTACAGAGCAGTGTCATGTATTCTTCTCTCAGTTCCCTGAATTTTTGCATATTAAGTGATTATACTACAAAATTAAAACCAGGAAATTGACATTGGTACAATGTGTGCAAATTGCTCTATGACATATTATTACATATGTAGACTCCTATAATCACCACTGCAATCAAGATACAGAACTATTCCATCACGGCAAAGATCTCTCTCATTCTACCCCTTTATAGTCACATTCACCCTTCCTTACCAACCCCAACCTCTGGTAACTTACTGTGTTCCCCATTTCTGTAAGTTTTGCGTTTCAAGAGTGTAATATAGGATTGAATCAGAGTATGTGGCCTTTCGAAAATGGCTTTCTTATTGATTCAGCATAATATCCTTGAGATCTATCCAAGTTGTTGTATGTAATAGTTCATTGCTTTTTATTGCTAAGTAATAATCCATGGTATGGATGTACCACAGTTGGTTTAGCAATTTACTTACTGAATGACATTTTTATTGTTTCAAGTTTTGGGCTATTACATATAAAGCTTCTAAGAACACTTACATGGCAGTTTTCTGTGGATTTTTTGTTTGTTTGTTTCTCTGGCATAAATGCCCAGGAATACAATTGCTCGGTCATGTGTTAAGTATATATTTGTTTTTTAAGAAACTGCCCTACTAATTTCCAGAGTGGCTGTACCATTTTGTGTTTCCACCTGCATTGTATGAGAGATCAAGGGTGTCTGCATCTGTGTCAGCATTTGGTGGTATCATTTTTTTTTTTTTAGCCTTGCTGATAGGTATGTGGTGATGTCTCATTGTGGTTTTAATTTCTATTTTATTATTGTGTAGTGGTATTGAACATCTGTTCATGGGCTCATTTGTAATCCTTATCCTCTTCCATGAAAGGTGTTTTCATGCTTTTTGCCTATTTTCTAATTGGGTTGTTTACTATTAAGAGTTCTTCACATAGTCCAGACACAAAGGCTTTGTCATATAGGTGGTTTGCAAATATTTTCTCCTAGTCTGTAGCTTGTATTTTCATCCTCTTTATAGGGTTCATCATAGAACAAAAGTTTTAGAAGTTGATGAAGTGCAATGTATCAATTTTTTCATTTTATGGATTGTGCTTTTGGTTTCATGTCTAGCACTCTTCAATAAGTCCAAGGTCATGAAGATTTTCTCCTATTTCTTCTAAAAGTTTTATAGTTTTACATTACACATTTACATATTTGATGCATTTTGAGTTAATTTTGTATAAAGTGCAACGTTTAGGTTCAATTTTTCACTATGGATATTCAAATGCTCAAGCAGCATTGCTGAAAAGACTATCCTTTCTTCATTGAATTGTTTTGCACCTTTGTACAAAAAAAAAAATCTGTTGGCCATACTATGTGAGTCTGTTTCTGTGTTCCTACCCTGTTTCATTAATCTGTGTTGTCTATCCCTCTGCCGGTAACACAGTTTTGATTACTGTAGTTTGAGTAGAGTGATTCTTCCCACCTATTTTTTCAGAATCATTTTAGCTATTTTAGTTCCTTTGTCTTTTTATTATAAATTATAGAATAATCTTGTCTATATCTACAAAAATATTGCTGAAATATTGACAGTAATTGCATTAAATAAATTGGAGTGAGAATTCACATTTTTAATATGATGAGTCTTCTGATCTGTAAACATATGTCTCCCCACTTATTTAGATCTTTGATTTATTTTATCAGCACTTTATAATTTTCATTATACAAGTCCTGTACATGTTTTGTTAGATTTGTGCCTAAGTATTTCTTTTTCTCAGTGATTACAAACGTTCTTGGTATCTCGATCCATTTGTGCTGCTATAACAAAATACCTAGGTCTGAGTAATTTATAAAGAATAGAAATTTATTTCCTCACAGTTCTGGATGCTGGGAAGTCCAATATCAAGGTGCCAGCAGGTTGAGAGTCTGGTGAGGGCCAGGTTTCTGCTTCCAAGATGGTACTTTGACTGCTGTTCTATGTCCTCACATGACAGAAAAGATGGAAGGTCAAAAGGGGCCAAACTCATTCCATCAAGCTTTTTTATAAGGAACTAATCCCAGCCATGAGAGCAGAGCCTTTATGGCCTGATTGTCTCCTAAAGGTCCCCCTCTTAATATTGTTGAACTAGGGATTAAATTTCAATATGAACTCTGGAAGGAACCCAAGTATTAAAATCATAGTAATTGAATTTTTAATTTTAATTTTCACATATTCATTACTAGGATATAGAAATACAATTGTTTTTTGTCTGCTGATTTTATCTTGTAATCTTGCTAAGCTCATATCTTACTTCTAGGGGTTTTTGGTAGATCCTTTCGGATTTCCTAGGTATAATTTGTAAACTTACTAAGCTCCTTTATTAGTTTTAGGAGTTTTTGGTAGATTCTTTGGATTTTTCTAGGTATAGCTTATGCCATTTACAAAGTCAGGTGGTTGTATCATTTTTCTTTCTCATCCAGATACCTTTTATTTTCTATTTTGCCTTTTCTTTGCTGGATAGAATTTACAATACTATGTCAAATTAAGAGTAGTGAGAGTGAATATCTCTGCTTTGTTCCTGATCTTGCTGGAAAAGCAGTCTTTGACCGTTAGGTATGACATTATCTGTAAAGTTTTTTATTGTAGATATTATTTCTCAAATTGAGGAAGTTATCTTCTATTCCTAGTTTTCCATGTGTTTTTCGTCATGAATAGGTGTTGGATTTTGACAAATGATTTCATTTTTTATTGATTGGTATGCTCGGGTAATTTTTCTTTATTAGCCTGTTTAGTGGATTACATCATTCATTTCAACAACTATTTTTAAAACAAGGTAGAGGCTAACTATATTCCCCGCTTCTATTTCTTCTCCATCTTTTTCTCCAAGTCTTGATTTTCTACTTGATTTTCTTCCCATTATTGATTCGAGTCAATAAAATATCATGACTGTCCCTGCCTGCTGCTTCACATCTTAGTTTCTTTTCCCTTACCTTAACTATTGTTCCTCTTTCTCCATTCTCTTCCCAATAGAGTTTATCCACTGGAGTGTGGAGTCCAGACTGTTACCTTCTCCCATCCTCAAAATTGGCTTGAAAAACTTTATTATTACTTCATCCAATAAAGATGAATACAACTCCATTAGCAAAGCATATTGAGCCCTTCTTTCCCACCCACATTTCTGTCCAGGGGCACCAACAAATTCCTTCTCACTTTTTCATGCTACAGTCAAGCTAGACTCTTATGGGACCTTGCATGCCTCTCTGGAGCTTTACATGCTCTTCTCTCTCCCTGAAATCACTCAAAACCCCCTTCTCTTCCGGTATCTTCCATTTTCCCAGGCAGAATTAGCCATTACTACACATGTGCCTTCTCTTTGCGATTTTAAGTTCTTCAAAAGCAAAGACTATGTTATATCCATCTTGAGAGGCACTGCTAGAGTGCCTCTCAGAGTACCTAACAATAGTATGAATAAGAGCAGCTAATATTTCTTGAGTGCTTGCTATGTGACAGCTAGTTTTCTAAATACTTTGCATGGGTTTTCTCATTTAGTCTTCGTAATAGCCCCATGAGAGATATGTTATTATCATCTCTATTTTATAGATGATGAAACTGAAGCTAGGGTAGTAAACCCAGGCAATCTAGCACTATAACTTTTTACCAGGGGAACATATTGTATGCTAATTACAAATACGCTAAACCTTTATTGTATGAAATAAATAAATGAATAAATGGCATCCATAAGGGTTACTATAAATTTCTTAGGAAATAAAGAGAGCTTTGCAGAAAAGAATAAATGGCAGCAGTATGTTTAGCTAAGTTACTTCCAGGTATTTCTAAGTTATGTGGTATGCAAGTCAGTAACGGGAGACTGGATTCAAACAAATCTGCATTCGAATTCTTTGCCACTTAATAGCTCAATGACCTTGTCAGGATTCCATAATTATTATAAACCATATTTTCCTAAGAGTAAAAAAGGGATAGATTCAACTTCATAGGTTTAGTGTAGTGTTTAGTGTAAAGATTAAGTGAAAAAGAGCATGAATAATATAACACAGTCCATGGACAGCACCTACCTAACATTTGCTTCCATTCTTCTACATTTTCTCTAGGCACTCATATAGATTCCTTGGCCTGTCTTTCTCTCTGCCCCCATTTTGATGGTATTTTTGTCATTTTGTCCACAATTCTATATATTAATTGTTCCTTTGAGCTGATTCACCTAAATCTCAATGTTTCTTGCTTATGGAGCTACTGTTTCTGACACAGATGTCACCATCCTACCTTACAGTCTATCTTGCTGAGGGTTGTCTTTTTGCCCTGCTGCTTAATCCTCTCATTTTCCCCAAAGATAAAAGCAAAATAAACAAACAAAAATCTGATGCATCTGCAAGCCTTATCTGAATTTAGGCATAAATAAGGTCTTGGAAGAATGATTCACTCTGTTATCTCACCTTAGCTAGTGACTAACTAGCACTGAGATCAGGTTGCTACTAATAGAGACTGGCAAGACCCCTGGGTCAGGATATATATTTGCCAGGTAAGTTTTCTCTCCTAACTCACCTTTATTTAGCCCTCTCATAATACACAGCTCAAATACTCAAATATGTCCTTGCCACATATTCATAACTATATTTAGTGTCTCCCTTTTTTGAACCACTTCACATCTACCTCACTTACACCCTGTATTGGAATACTATTCTACTTGTTTTACTTCCCTATTAAAATGCATATTCTTGAGGGTTGTTTTATCATCTTTGTACCAGTTCAGTGCCTTATGTAGTGTATTGTGTGAGTACTTAGTGGGTTACAAGTAAATATTCACTCACTGAGTGAACTAGAAAGACATTTTTTAGAATCTGACCTGAGAGTGTGAAACTCCATGACTTGTATGTGTACCCCATTTAAAAAATTAGATAGAAATATGAAAGCCATTTCTTTGTCCTATTATTCCAGGATAAGAGAGGAAACCCAAAATGGTATGCTCTCTAAGTATCCTTTGTGTCACCCACTCACTCTTCAGTCTTCCAGTAGGAGTCTTTTTTATAGCTCTCAGTAGGGAATTGCACACTTTATTAGGAGGAGCCAAAATGAAGGTGGATGAAGTGAGCGAGGGCTGGCTCATACTGCCTTTCTGTTTCATTTTAGTACAGAATTGTATAGGCTTAACTCCAGAACACACAAGCACTGCAGCAGAGGAAGACATTCATCTCCTTACTCTCTATTGTTAGTGTTGAAATGGCTTACTTGTCCTAGCACTTAAGTACTACAGTGATGGATGTTTCCCAAACGTACAGCTATCTCGATGTCATAGACAGAATTTTGTCTCTGTTTTGGAAAAAAATTAAAACTTCCTAGAAGTATATTGGTCTTTCAAAGCCACCTTTCAGTGAGCATTTAATTAAAAGTTGTCTCACAGTTTGTGGCTCCCAGGAACAGGGCTATGTTAGCATTTCCATAGACTCTGTTTACACTGAGCTCACCAGGACAAAAACTTTACCAATTTTATAATCTTCCACAGCTTCTAAAATAATCTTCTTCTGAACAAGATGAATCATTCTAGACAAATCAAATCCTTCTCTTTTTCTCTTTCTTCCCAATCTTGCTCCTTTAAGCCTAGAAACCTATTAAGTGCTGTGCTCAAGAATATAAATTCCTGTCTCTTCTCCATTTTCTGTTACTTCCTCCCCTTACTGAAGTCTGCTGGATAAATAAATTCTATCCACCACAAACTTATAGATATGGTTAAAAAAAGAACCTATGCTTGGAGTATACTGCTTAGTCATTGTGGAGGACATAGTTTGAGTACAGAGCATCCTTTTGTGAAATTAATGTGGGAAGAGTAGTGATGAAAATCAGCAAGACTGGAGTTGGCAGCCGGGGCTGTTTGGCAGAAGAATACTATTAAAGGAGACTGAAGACTTAGGTTCAAGTCTCTTTTCTCCTACTAAAGAATAAGGCAAATTCTAAAACTACTTTGCACTTCAGTTTTTCGTCTTTTAAAAAAGTGATCCAATTCTTCGCTCACTGCACAAATATTTGCTCCACAGTTTGAATGATGTTATTTTCCATGTCCCTTCAGGCATAAACTTTTATATCAACTATACCAATGAGATATCTTAATAAACAAGGTGTGAGATAAAACTGATACTCAACTGAAAACCTGAATAACAGATATCTTAAGTTGAAAGGCAAATCTGAAAAAAAAAATCCTTTTTTGTCATATCTTCTTATTTTCTTTTTCTAGTTCTCTATTTCCAGTCCTATTTTTCTTTCCCTAGCCTCTCCATCATGCCAGTGATGTTGGTATGCTGCCCTCCACACTCTACTGCTAAGTATCTGTTTGACCCCATCAATTCTCTGATGCTCTTAGTTCCTCCATAGTTCCTGTCACCTAAAGATATTTAATTTATTTTAATGGCTCTCTCCTCCACTCCCCCCCCCCACACACACACGCACACCACACACACACACACACACACACGTACTACAGCCTCCATTTCTCAAGCCCAGATGCTAAAGAGGGATGATGCTAAATAAGAGCCAGATACCCCAGCTAATAGCAAGTGGTGAGGAAGGCGAGGAATAAGGTCTAAAGCTGGCTGGTGGGCTGCTTTTATTCAGAGGACGATTGTCATTTTCTGAGAGGGATGCTACAGAGTTCTCAAGATTTGCTGTTGTCTTGGGAGTGTGGAGCACATTTGCAAAACAGTTCGGGCATTTATAATCTCAAAATAGCAGTTAATAAGACCTGGCTCTCAGGCATCAAGATATGCATTTAATATCAACTTCTGCTGAAATTTCTCAAAAAGGAAATACCACCTACTTGAGAATAGAGGATAATTTCTCTGAATCATTCTGAATCAGTCATTGTGGAGGACGTAGTTTGAGTATGGAGCATCCTTCTGTGAAATTAATGTGGGAAGAGTAGTGATGAAAATCAGCAAGACTGGAGTTGGCAGGCAGAGCTGTTTGGCAGAAGAATATTATTAAAGGAGACTGAAGACTTAGGTTCAAGTCTCTTTTCTCCTACTAAAAAATAAGGCAAATTCTTTTTATTTTATTATTATACTTTAAGTTTTAGGGTACATGTGCACAACGTGCAGGTTTGTTACATATGTATACATGTGCCATGTTGGTGTGCTGCACCCATTAACTCATCATTTAGCATTAGGTATGTCACCTAATGCTATCCCTCTCCCCTCCCCCCACCCCACAACAGTCCTCGGTGTGTGATGTTCCCCTTCCTGTGTCCATGTGTTCTCATTGTTCAATTCCCACCTATGAGTGAGAACATGCGGTGTTCGGTTTTTTGTCCTTGCAATAGTTTGCTGAGAAGGATGGTTTCCAGCTTCACCCATGTCCCTACAAAGGACATGAACTCAAACCACTTTGCACTTCAGTTTTTCGTCTTTTAAAAAAGTGATCCAATTCTTCGCTCACTGCACAAATATTTGTTCCACAGTTTGAATGATGTTATTTTCCATGTCCCTTCAGGCATAAACTTTTATATCAACTATACCAATGAGATATCTTAATAAACAAGGTGTGAGATAAATTTAAAAAAAATATTTATTTTGAGAAATTCACAGACCTACTGGACTGAGAAGAGGAATGTATCTTTTGCATTTGGAAAATGTTGAGTTATCAGTAGAAACTTGGCCCCCTGTTCCTGTGTTATAAAGAGCCAGGATTTTTGGTTTTTGTCATATTCATTAGATACTTCACTGAAACTGTGACCTTCTACCTTACTTTGACAGTAATGTTTCACTGGGTCTTTAAATAGGCTACTAAATTAGCCTACACTTATTCATGGTAACTTATTTCTCCTAGTCTTTTATTTCCCACTATGAAATTTTTGATAGTATGATTAATGTTTTTGAGCTCCTCAAAAGATCTTATAGAGGAAAAAAATCACAAATTATTATGGATTCCTCATTTGAATTCACACTGTATTTCATTTGGGTCATTGTTTCATGTAGTATTATTATGTATTATTGTTTCAGAGCTTGTTAGTAGGCCATATGCAAGGTAGTGATCAATAATATTTCAATGTCAGCCTTGGAGGGTATATTGAATAATTTTTTTCCATAAGTCAGCATTGGTCTTGATTCTAATTAACATTTTCAATGTTAATTTGAAGTATGGAATAGGGAGTAAGCTTATTAAATATGCAGATTACTCTATATTGAGTAGGGGTGATTATTGACTAGAACTCCACTGTAAGAATGTATAAGGACCTTTACAAATAAAACAAGGTGATTAGAAGTACGATGAAGTTTAATAGGGACGAATATGTGATAATCACTCAGAGATGGAAAAAACAAACTGTATGCGTATATTTGTGTATACCTATGATAATTTCAGTATAAACCATCTGTCAATTATAAATCTGAAATGTGGCATTAGTGTTTATTTTTAAAATGACCAGAGTAACCTAGCAGCATGTAAGTTGTTCAAGCCTTGTAAAGACTACCATGACCTACTTAGAAGGTTCACAAATTATGCAAAAACTAAAATACAAGAGAAAAAAAAATGGTTTAGTTAATAACAGTCTAAAAATGGAAGTAATATATCTTATAGATAACAACTAAAATAATTTAGTATTTAATTTGACAAAGAGAAGGCTAAAGGAGGAAAATGAAAAAGAAGTGTTTTATTACATAGAGAAATATTGTACCAGAGGTGGTATGCAGGTATTGTCCATTTTCATTGAGAACAAAATAGTGTTTTCTGTGAAACAGGAGATTTTGGGGCTATGTACAAGTAAGGACTCCCTTGTGTTAAGTTTTCCAAGTCACTGAAGTATCTTATTAAAAAAAACATGAAGTCAGTTTTAGGGACTGGTTTATGTGCCTTAAGGTACCTAATCATATTATGTAATGCCTCTGGTAACTCTTTCAACTCTCTGGTATTATGATTATTTTAGTATGTTTTTGTTAACACCATTTAAAAATGTGATCCTTCCAGGGAAATTAACGGGAATTAGTGAAGTCCTTCCTGAATTTTCAAGAATATAGGAATATGAAAATCCCCTATTTCACTACTGAAATCTATTGCATTATTTGAAGATATCATCTTAACATAAATTTTACAATCATCCTATAATCAGCAGTAACATTGTAAAATGCTGACCATAAAATTTAGGATAATTTTGTATTTCTTCCTAGTGTCTTGAGATAAATAAGTATTGCAGCTTTTTTATGATATATAAAAAAGAAACTGCACATGCTTTTTACCATGCACAGGAAAACTGCAGGATAATTGAATGTACAGAATACTAGGACCTTTTATAGTGAAGATTTGCTTAATAATTTATATATTATAATATATATTTTATTAGATATCATACACATATATTAAATATAATATATCTAAAATGGCCTTTCATGGTATATACATGTATATTTATTTTATAATGTATTTATTATTAAATATTAATATATACCAAATATTTGTTTATTTAACTAATAGCCATTTAAAATAGAGAAAAGGATCATAAATGATATTTCTGTCAACACTGTCAGAGTTTTGAGGTTTGTGGTAGAAAAATACAGTGTCTGCCACATTTCAGGGTTCATGATGTGACACAATTAGTTTCTAGCTTGTAATGTGGGTCAATAAGTCAGACAAGCCAGTCAGATTTTCAGATGACTGTTCTCTTGCATCTGTATAACACCATCATTTCACAGAGAGTTTAACAATCATTTTTATTGGTTATAGCCAACAGCAGTAAGACGTGCAGCATTTCCATCTTCCCTTAGATTCTCTAAAATGGCCTGCCGTGTCCACATATCTGAACTAACTCCTAAGTTTGTAAGGAAAGTGCAGATCTTTTTAATGCAAGGGGATGTTCCCCTAAGTAGTCCATGACATCTACCCTTCCCAAGGGCATCTACTTTACATAAACTTACAATTTTACCTGTGACCATCTGACTGTACCACATGGTGGGTAGGGCTGACCCAGAATACTTTCGTCGGGACAGAGTGCAGAAAATATTCCCAAGTCTGTCAGGGTAGACTTCAGGGTCATCTGCTGGTCTGTAATCCCCACACTTTGTAATCTAATCTACCACAGGAGGACCGTGTTCTGCCAGGTAGATGTGCCCTTCTCATGAATCTTGCTGCGCACTTTTTCTAGACCAAACGCATCTTATATTCTGGTGGCTATTTAAACAGTTCTAAAAAAATTAAAATGAAATAGACACTCTAAAGGAGTTCAAACCAGAAGGACCTGAGGCTGTCTTTTATCTAATGTATTCTGTTGTGCCACATGAGGAGAGTTAGGGGGAAGATGAAAGACTCAGGACAGGAGTGGGGAAAGGGACAGAATGGAGCGACTAGAAAAGGCTGCATCATTTAGACCTTATTCAAGCATTCCACATGGAGGTGCCCATCTTCTGACCCTCCGTAAATCTCTAACCCTCTTTGTTCCTCCTATGGCACCCTCTCCATCCAGAAGGCTTCATTTGAAAAGTTCTCTCCATTTCCCAAAATGGAGTCCTAACCCTCTGCCTTGCCTGGTATCATTCTACCGTGCTGGCCTCAGACCTCAGCTTGCTCTTCCAAAGGCTTCTGCTGTGTTGAGGAGGAAGAGACTCTGGCACCATAACAGGAAGGAAGACACAGCACTTTGGTGCTGGTACATTCCTTCATTAGAGATTGCTGTCTCTGGGTTCCTCCTGAATTACCCCACACCGTGAGGAATACTTTTAGGCTATACAATCTAATCTTCTCTGAGAGAACCCTATGTCTTCCATTAACATGACTTTGACATTAATCTTTTTTAAAATAGGAAACTTAGTGCTATTAAGCTAAAAACTCTTTCCTGAGCCTACTTTCATTAAATAAGGACACCCCTTCAGGCACTAAAAATATCTTTTACAGAGCTCTTAATTATGGACCAAGCCACCTTGAAAACATCAGGAGTCCTTTTTATCCCACCGTATACTCTTGATACCTTTACATTTCACCAGACTTTACAAGCTTGAGTCTGAGGTAGTTAAGAAAACTTCACTAAGGAAAAGGAGCTACTAAGTAAGATAGGAATGTGACTTCTCAAAGAACAAGTGGCCATTGGCTACGCCGTAAATAGGAAGGTGGAAGGCTTATTCCATTTGTCCATACATAGAGCGTACATACTCTCCTTCCTCCTCATTATCTAAATATTCAACCAAGAAAAACAATCCTGAAATATAATTTTCTGTAGTAATCCTCAACATTGCCAAAGGTGACTGTCCTCGACTTGTTCTGCTGCTTATCTCAAGATTCTTTAGCTACTAAAATCATGAATTCTTTTACATATTTATAAGCATTTCAATTAAGCAATTTTCTTCACCATTTCAGTTTGCTTCCAATATTTCAGTGAAAAAATCACTCAGTTCATGTACCCCTTATCTTCTCTGTCTGCACTGCTCAGATAAGTAACTTTTTCAAGAGCAAATATTCTACTTTGTACCAGGTCCTATGTCTACCAGAATCACAGACTATACCCTCAGCTTTTTGAAATACGTTTTTTGGTCCTAATTGTTTGTGTTTTCTTTTTATTTGCCTTGCCTCTGAATTTATTTATTTTACATATGTGGCAAAATATTATGACAGGCAATTCACTGGAGGTTCAATGAAGCTTGCCCAGCTGATTGTGTTACAGAGGAAATTGCCAAATATTTCTTTAAAAATGAACAATGAGAACACATGGACACAGGAAGGGGAACATCACACACCGGAGACTGCTGTGGGGTGGGGGAATTGGGAGGGATAGCATTAGGAGATATACCTAATGCTAAATGACGAGTTAATGAGTGCAGCACACCAGCATGGCACATGTATACATATGTAACAAACCTGCACGTTGTGCACATGTACCCTAAAACTTAAAGTATAATATAATAAAATAAAAAAGTTTTAGATTTTTTATTTTGTTTTTGATTTTTTTTTTTTTTTTTGACGGAGTCTTGGTCTGTAGCCCAGGCTGGGGTGCAGTGGTGTGATATCGGCTCACTGCAACCTCTGCCTCCGGGTTCAAGCGATTCTCCTGCCTCAGCCTCCCGAGTAGTTGGGACTGCAGGCACCCACCACCATGCTCAGCTAAGTTTTTGTATTTTAGTAGAGACAGGGTTTCACCATGTTGGCCAGGATACTCTCCATCTCCTTACCTCATGATCTGCCCGCCTTGGCCTCCCAAAGGGCTGGGATTACAGGCATGAGCCACCATGCCTGGCCTTGTTTTTGATTTTTTAACTACAAATACTTCTGGTCATGATTAGTCAGCTGTAGAATGGCTAATAATATATAGTTAAAATGCTATTATTATGCCATGCTAGTTTCAGGGGAATGCTTACTTCCCAAAATGAAATATCCTTCTAGTGAAGAAGACCACCATAAAACAAGTAAGCCTCATTGATTGCTGACTGTTTTCCAGACCCTGGGCTAGATCTGGATTTCAAAGATGAAGTTTTTTAAAAATCATGGGAACCAGCAATCTATATTCTAGTGAGGTAAATAAACAAATACAATTCCTAAACACAATGCTGAAATGTGAACATATTCCAAGTGTTAGAAGAGCACTGAAGAGACAGTGAAGTTTCATGTTGAAAGGAAGGAATTCTCCAGGTAGACAGAGAAGCATCTTATGCCAAGAAGACATCTACCAAGACATGCACCTGTGATACAGCCAGGAATGAAGAAACAGTGTTTGGCTTATACTGTGAATATGAGTAAGGCAAAAGGTTGTTTCTGAGAATGGAAATAGAAAAGGCTTAAGCCAAATTTTTGAAGGAACTTGAAGGCTAAGGAGTTTAAACTGTTTTCTAAGGGCAGTGAAGTACATAGGCAGTACTTAAACAAGGCAGCAGTATGATCAGATTGCATATCAGAAAGAACAGTTTAGCTGTGCTAAAGAATGGATTAGTGGTGAGTGAGAACAGAGATAGGGAAAGGCTTAAAAATAATAGTCCAGGTAGAAATAACAAGGCTATTAGACGTGGAAAGGCAAAGATGGTGACAGATTTACAAAATTTAGGAGGTAAAATATACAGAACTTGATGAGAGTAGATGAGGTGGGGAAGTTAAAGATCCACAGGTAAGGAAGGGGATTAGCTGAGAATGAATCTAATTGATAGGAAACAAGGATACGGCAATTCCAGAAATCATAATAGAGAACAAAGTAATAGTAATCATCATAATAACATCAATAATTTTAACTACTGGTAATTGAGTGCTCATAGCTAATTACTAAGAAAAGTGTCTTATAAACAATATCTAATTCAAACCTCTAGATACCTTAATATAAAAGTATTAGTTCCTCTGCTCAATAGAGAAAGAAATTGCATTTTGGAGAAGTTTAAATAATTTTCCCAAAGATTGAAACACAAATATTTATGTTTTCACAATTCATGCTTTTAGAAACTAAGTGTTTGCTCAGTGCTGGTCAGTTGGCAGTACCTCTTGGGGATGGCCTGCCTTACCCAAGCACCCCAGTCCATTTTGTAACACTTTGACTTGCTTCTTGGGTCTAAACAACATTAATTCTCACCCTCACGGCATATTAGTTGTTCCTTTAAATGCTACATTTTGGATCACTTTTTATGCTGGAAAACTTGTCACCGCACTTCATAGGACAGCTCTCAGCTGCTACAACCAATGGACAGGCAGGCTGTTTACATGGTTGCTAATGAGCTCTCAGGGCTGTAACAATATCTGTCCTTTGACAGTTGCTGAAATCAGCATCCAAAGGAGAAAACTGAGAAGAGAATAGGGGGGAACCTAAACTGAGTTGGAGGATGCTTGTCATATACCCCTATTTGTCTCTTTTCCACTGTTAGCCCTTTTGCCTGAAGCATCTGGTGCCTATCCTATCAGCCACGTTCCATTTTTCTCCCCCTGAAGAAAAATCTCCTCTGATGTGATAACTTAAGTTGACTTGTTCCACCCCATAGAAAATGGGATTAGACTTAAAATTCCCCAAAGCCAGCTGTCAGGCCACTCTTGTCAGTTATTGATGAGCGTTCTACACAACCAGGCTAAATGTAGTTTTTAATCTTAGAAGACAAAGAAGATGGAGATGGGACAGAGAGGTTTATGAGAGTTATTTAAGTTTTATGTGGATAGTGACATCTACTGTCTTGTTAAAGGAAGATAGGAAAAAAATATAAGTGAAAGTTTACCACAGAGGGGTTACGCATTAGATTTTTTAAAAAAATAGTTGACAGTTTTAGAGATGTGTTTTTAACAACGTATTTAATATAACATTATTTCATTAATATAAAATTGTATAAATGTCCCAGAGAGTTTGCTATGAAGAAATTTATGACCATTTAGTATCATAGAGTCACACAATCTCATACTTGGAAGGGAAATCATGCATTATTTATTCTATTTCAGTGCATGAATTCTTCTTCAACAATATTTATAAAGAATCACCTGACTCTGCCAGGGGGGAAAAATTCCACAAAAAAATACCAATAGAAATTATTAAATAAGGCATTGTGGAAGGAGGAATCATCAACATCATAATCTTTATATAAAAACAGTAGAAACCTGATCAAATACTGATTTGACAGATATGCTTGACTTTAAAATCTAACCTACTCAATGTTAAAGCTATTGCTGTCAGATATATCTAATAGACTATCAAATATTTAAAAAATTTAATTGTATTATTTTTATTTTTTATTTTCCTTTGAGAGGGAGTCTCGCTCTGTTGCCAAAACTGGAGTGCGGTGGCACAGTCTCAGCTCACTGCAACCTCCGCCTTCTGGGTTCAAGTGATTCCCCTGCCTCAGCCTTGTGAGTAGCTGGGATTACAGGTGTGTACCAGCACGCCCAGCTAAGTTTTGTATTTTTAGTAGAGACAGGGTTTCACCATGTTGGCCAGGCTGGTCTCAATATCCTGACCTCAAGTGATCTGCCCACCTCAGCCTCCCAAAGTGCTGGGATTACAGACATGAGCCACTGCGCCTGGCCCCAAATTAATTTTAAATGCTTGAAAAGAGTTTCAGTGTTTATTGAAAGAATTTTACAGAAACCTAAAGCCACTCAAATTTTAAAAATTTATTTTCACAGAATTGCCTTAAATCACACAGTACCTCAGTGTATGTACTGTTCATACAAATAACTAAATATAACTTACTCGTAAGCTCTCAGTATTGTTCAGTACCCACAGGTTGATGCTAGTCTGATCAGAGAACAGTAGCAGGAATAAAAAAATAATCTCAGTCAGGTGTCAAGAAGATAAGGCTGATTAGAGCAGCAAAGCATTTTCTTTCTTTTATCATCCACCACTTAGAGCTATAGACACTCATTTTTTTACTGTGTGCATGAGTAAGACTGTGGGTTTGAGAGAAGAGACCTCAGGTCTAATGGGTTCTCAGAGTGAGCATTCACTGAGTTTTATGTGAGATATGTGGTTAGGTAGAGAAACAGAGTATACTATGAGTTATACATACTAATACTATGTTCACAGATAACACTTCTCTGGAGTACTCTAGATTTTTCCATTCCTTCTTCTTTTTTTTTTTTTTTCTTTTCTGAGAATGAGTTTTGCTCTTGTCGCCCAGGCTAGAGTGCAATGGTGCAATCTCAGCTCACTGCAACCTCCATCTCTCGGGTTCAAGCAATTCTACCTCAGCCTCCTGAGTATCTGGGATTACAGGTGCATGCCACCACATCCAGCTAATTTTTTTTTTGTCTTTTTAATAGAGACAGGGTTTTGCCATGTTGGCCAGGCTGGTCTCGAACTCCTGACCTCAAGTGATCCACCCACCTTGGCCTCCCAAAGTGCTGGGATTACAGGCATGAGCCACCATGCCTGGCTGATTTTCCCATTCCTCCTATCATCTGAGAAAATGTCTATTGTTAAAAAAGAAATGTCTGTATTTGACATGGTATATTAATGTATATATTAGATGCCTATTAATGATTCTATGATTGTTTTACATTTTAAAACAATGATTAGGCATGTCTAAATATTATACACTCAGATTTT
The DNA here is from genome assembly GCF_000001405.40 of Homo sapiens. Lineage (NCBI taxonomy): Eukaryota > Metazoa > Chordata > Mammalia > Primates > Hominidae > Homo > Homo sapiens. The sequence goes on from NC_000004.12 coordinate 93,512,258, forward strand.
GACCTTCAGATACAAGTTTTTGAAGATTACCATTTGTTGAATGACCTACTATATTTCCTTTAAAGGCTCATAATATAGGCTACAGCATTTCTGCTAATCTTGTTCTAAACTCTTCTTAGTATGAAAAATACAAAGTGACCGCTTGTAATAGTTACTCCCTTTCTATTTTGGGCTCCTGAAATGGCCTTTTCATTTGGTAATAAGCTATTTGTGTTCACTTCATTTTGCTTCAGTCGTTTTATTTTTGTCATCTTTGGTGCTATCTTAGTGTGCTATGATGGAACATGCTGAATCAGAAAACCTGTAATTTTTATTGCAAACATGTCTCAAGGCAAATTTATAAGTTGCAGTTGATATCAGAAACTACTAGAGGGAACATGCCTTTGTTCTAAATTACAAAATGCTCTGCTATTCTAAACTTGAAGTATGTTGAATATAAACTGCCTTTTTTGTAACACCAGGAGCTTCACATGGGCAATATATTAAGATATTCCTCTAAAAATGCATTGTGTACAAAACAACTTCTCCAGCTAAACTGTATTAAAACTCTATATTTTCAGGCTGTAAAGCTAATATTTAAGGTGAAGCTATGTCACAGAAACCTGATCATATTAAAGATCTTAACATTTGATTTCAGTTTTCTTTTCATAGAAGGATAAGAAGGAGCACTAATTTATTTAGCAGCATTTAGCCAGGGTGACTATTTGGGCAACCCATTTATATATTTAAATGAAGGCACTGAAAAAAAAACTGCACTAAACTGTGATCTCACCTCCATTAGATTAAAACCTTCTGATCATTATAGTTGAGTTTGATTGTTAGTACTGCCAGACAGCCAAGGGCCCAATCTTGTACTGGTAGGGTGTCTGGTGACCTGCAATATGGGCTTTCTCCAACTATAGACCTGCAGGTTCTAGATGATGCTGTGTACAACCATCTGGTCTTCACCTTTGTATTTATAGAAACTGAACAAACGAGTATTGTTGTTATAACCTGTGTAGATATATTCCATTCCTTCTTCCTGTGTTACCACTTTTGGGTATCCTCCACTAAACAGGGGGATATATGTTTAAAATGTTCATGTTTATAATACAGTTTTACTGATACTACTGAAAACAGCAGTAAATTGCTCTCTTGAAACAAAATTTTTGTTGTTATAATATATCAAGATAATTATGGTATGACCTACAAGTAAATGTCCACTCACTTTGTTATTCAGTTGCATCCTAGCTACATACTCATTTTACTCTTGCTTTTGCCCTCAATTATTCATTTACATTATAGCTTTAGTTTACCTTTTACAAATGGTAGAATCCGTTCAATATTTTAGAATATTCCAGAAAATTCCAGAATCGCACTTTCTCTTCAGATAGGATGATTTAAATGCATTATTTTATGCAACAGATGTGTAGAGCAAAAAGGAATTATCATGGTAGTTTCCATGGAGTAAATAATATACATCAAAAACACAAAACTCAATAAAATGCAGATAAAAGTTTGCTGAAAGTTACTATTAGAAATTGGCACAAATACTCTTCTGACAAACATGGCCCATAATGTATTGTTTCCAACACAATTTTGTACATGATGGAGATTGGTGAACTGCAAGAGTATTCCCAGTGCCTTTGCCCAATGCTACTGTTGGTTGCAAAGATCCTCAGGAAATCATTAGCAAACTCCATCTAGAAACAGACCAAAAGATCAGAGATATACATTACATGAGATTCATGGCTTATGGTTGTAGAGTTCTGTGCGCATTCGTTCTTGTTTGAAGTACAGTATAGTGTTTCAAAGCATCTGCTCCCATTCCCAAAAGTTAGTGAGTTGTAACTGTGCCAGTATCTGATTTTAACAGTATGTCAAAGGCACAGTATTTGTTCTTAAATGTCAGTCATTAGAGTTGGGCACCTACACAAATTCAATGAGTTCCAGTGGAATGATAACTGGTTCTTTAAGCTGCAAAATATAGAGAGACTCAGAAACTCAAATGGAGGGAAATCGACCACCAATTTAGAGATAGATAACCTGGGACAAATAGATACTATCTGTAACATAAAAGATTGACTTAAAAATCTTGAAGCATTATTCTGAATATGTTTTCAGCTTTCCAGAAACATGAAATGTATTCTCATCCAAATAGAAATCGCTCCCCCCACCTCCACAGTACACACACACACACACACACACACACACACACACACACAATGCTAAAGCAAATATAGCAAACGAAATATAGAAATAACAACCAGTGTCTTGCGTTGGAAATACTATGGTCTTTGAGGCTGGACAGACCCACATTTGAATTCTAGCTCTCGCACTCACTGACTATGACACACTGATCAAGTCACTTATTCTCTCAACCTCAGTCTCTTCCTCTATAAAATGGGTCAAATAATTATTGATGTGAGGCATTTCTGTGAGGATAATGTATATCAATTGTCTGACGTGTGTATTCAATAAATAATGACTATCATAACTACTAATTTTTAAGACTACATTTGACCTCAAAGCATGTTGTTTATGTAAATTCTATAATTTTATACAAATAAGCCTTGCTACGTAAAGGAATGTAGAACTAATGCTGATAACATATTGAAAGTTTTTTAAATTACTAAATTAGCATGTGATTATCTAGCAGTCTAATTTAACTTGTCTTTGATGGAATTGCTAGCTTTTTCTCCCATGAAGCTTCACAAAGAAAGCATTGCATTACCACTAGACGTTTTCACTTTTCCTTCAATAATAATTTTGTGTTCTCATAATTTGTATAAATGCCATATACCCTAACAGAAGTTTTTCTTACACATTATATCCTAATATCAGAAAACAATAAAATAAGAAAAGCAATTTGATATATGTTTCCACACATATTGCCTTTTTTTTTCTTTTAACTTTATTCCCACTTGAAAATACTCAGTAATGTGTCTCTTGTGTCTCTCTTCTCTCCCAATAATCAAGGTCTCTCCAGGACCTTTCCAAGCAAACAGAAATCCCTTATGGCACAGTCCTAGACTCTGCGGTATATGAGCATGTCCGCATGAAAGGACTGAATCCTTTTGAGAGGGACAGCATGTATTCCCAAATGTGGCGGATGATCAACCGAAGCAATGGATCGGAGAACAATGTTCTGGAGTCCCAGGCAGGCATTCAAAAGGTACTGTCCATGGTTCTCCTTTAATAGTCCTTACCATTTTGTGTCCCATGCTGGAATTGCGCAGTTGAGATTTGTTTTTTTTGTTTTGTTTTTTGTTTTTTATCTTTAATGCTGACGGCAAATTTCCTGTTACAATGCATCTTATATTGATTTAAAGAAGATTTTTTAGGGAATTCAAAGTCCTCTGTAGTGTGTCTAACAGATCAGTTTCCATTTGAATTCCAAAATCAAATACACACACTGGTATTTTGTTCAGAAAAGGGTTAAGGACTTAACAAACATGAAGTTTAAAAAAGTTTTTATAAATCCCATTCCAAATATCATTCAAGTTATCTGATTCTTTTAAATGACTCAGGGTATTTTCTACACTACACTTGTTTTTGGATTAAACCGTCATCTTTAGTTGTGATTATGTGAAGCTATCTGGAAGTAAAAGTTAATCTTGTCAACAAATAAGGTTCCTATGGATGTCTGTTTCTATTCCAAATGTGAAAATCTTTATTTACATCTTACTTTTTCTATAACTATCTATATTAAAAAGGCATAGAAAGACTGTTTTTCTTTTATGTGAAAATCTTAAGGCTATTTTTACTCTGAGCTGTAGCTTATAAACATATATACGGAAGCAATTCAAACCCTATCAACCTCTATGAGAGATCTGACTGTTTTTTCTTAAAATTATCTCTAGTGACTAGCCTAGTGAAAATCATTGTTGACATTTAATAAATAATTATGGAATGCAGGAATGAACGTCAGTAATAGCAGCAATAGTGGTATACACTTTTTCTCTCTGACCTTCCACTGCAGAATAATTTGGACTCCAAGTCTGTGTTTCCTGTTCTAAAGGCAAACTCACTAATGTCATCCTAGAGGATATTTTGATGACTATAAAAATTATTCTGTGACAGGTTCCAGCATTATTCTCTGCTTTTTCATCTGGCACCCTTTATCTGCCACTGCTACTACTATGGTCCCTAGAGTCAGCCTAGTAATTCTTGCAGTCAACATATTGATATCATTCTTCTGAGAGCTGGTGATGCTAACATAAACCTTTCTTCAAGTATTAATGATGTCTTTAAGGAAGTGAATGTCCTGGAGATGTTAGCAATGGCCTCTATCCTCTTTGCCCTTATTATACCCCATTTTCTGGGGCTCAGTTATTGATTCTAAAATATTTCTTGGCTTTCTCCAAAGAACCATTGGCTCCTGGAGTTTCAACATGGTTCTCCCAGTTAATGGGGTTCGGGTTGAGAGATGGATCCAAGTGGGTGAATGAACATGTATTTTTGGGGAAGGGAGGAGGAGGGTGGACATTTTAAGGCTTACTGGGTACTCATAGCATGTTAATGAATTTGTGTTCAGAATAAGTATACACTATGGCTTTGAGGATGAGTTATTTTCCTTTATATCATCTGTTAAAAATGAATTTGTTTTTTGATGATTAATATAAATAGAAATTTATAGTTCATATTTCTATTCCATTTTAGGAGCCAAAGCTCCCCCTGCCTTATAACCTCATTCTATACAGTATTATTGCAGAGAAATTTCATTTTATTTTCTCCCACCAGCCTGGTGTTAATGGGCACATCAATCCGGGTTTGAATCCAGCTCATTTTTTTAAATAAAATGTATAAACATAACTAGCTACTCAAAATCTCTGGGCCTTGAGAGTTGCATCATGAAGATAAGAATTCTACCTCACACAGTTTTTGTCAAGATTAAATAAGATAATATATATAAAGCATCAATAAGTAGTATGAGTAGAGCCATAAACCTTTCTCATAAGATGGCCCTGAAGATTACCTGAGACAATTTATATGTGAGGGATTTGTAATTTAAAGCTTTATTGTTTAATATTTCCTAATCTTAATGTAAAGTTGTGACATAATAAAAAGAAGAAACAATAAAAGAGGTAGATAATAATTTCTATTCTTTGTTAGTCTGTTGATAAGGAGGGCTAATGAGTTCGAAACTGCAAATCAAGTCCTCAAATATTTATTATACCATGTTGATTCAGTTTTCTGATTTACTAGAGGGCTAGTGAAAATGCTCTTCTGAATGAATTTATAATAGAAAATATCTAAGTGAAATTTGTTTGTACTATATATTTCTTTCAACCCAAATTAGAAACAGCTGACAATTGATTAGACAGAGAGCAGCTAATAATAATACGATGTATTTTGGTTCAAGCTTACAAGGTCTTGGCCAGCTTCTATTAAAAAAACAACCAACAAACAAATAATAACCTTTTCACCTGATAAAGTTCATTGGAGTTTCATGAAATTGAGAACTATGACACATGGAATGTGGTTGTGGATTCTTATTCAAGAAACTAGTCTTGAACATTTCACACAGCAGCTTTTTATTCTCTGTCATTGATTTCTAATTTATACAGGCAGATAAGACATCAGAGGTCTTTTAGGTCAACATTTCACAAAAGGCCACACTTCTTCTATAATATCTTGGGCAAGAATCCATATATATATATATGTATGTGTGTGTGTATGTATATACTATATATGTATGTATATACATACATGTATATGTATGTATATACATACATGTACATGTATGTATATACATACATGTATATGTATGTATATACATACATGTACATGTATGTATATATACGCATATACTATATATGTATATAGTATATACATATATATATACACACACTATATATGGATATATATATAGTAACTGCCTTCCAGGAAGGCCTGCATCACTGAGAAAAACAGTCCTCACAATCTATAACTTTAAATAGATTCCATTAATGTCTCAGTCTGTATTTGTTCTTAATTGTGCTACTAGTCTCATTAAGTTTCTCTTACTCGAAGGTAGATACCGATCTCATCTACCATCTTGTTTCGGCTTGTACCAAAGAAATCTGTGTAAATGAGCATTAAGTCGATGAGTTCTGATTTGCTAAACTTGGTAGCAAACTACCCTAAGTAAACTAGACAAATTTTTTTTTCTGCCTTGCTTTAACCAAGATCTTTTGCATAAGTAGAAAAAATATGATTTTTAAAATGCAGCTGAATTTTTTATGCATTCATTCAACAATTATTTATTGAGCACCTTCTATTTGTCAAGCAGTACATTAGTCACTGGGATGGACAGAAATGAAAACAAATGCCTTCATGGAGTTTGCATTATAGTGGGTATAAACAATAAACAAAATAAACAAGCTCTGTGGTATGTTCAGTAGTGAGAATTGTTAAGGAGAAAAAATAAAGTAGGAGAAGAGGATGGGAAATACCGAGAAGCAAGGTAATCTGCTTTATTAAATCAGGTAGCCAGGGAAGGCTTCACTAAGAAAATAACATTTGAATACAAACTTTAAGCAGGTTGGAGAGGGGAGAGTATGTGTACGTCTGAGTAAAGTGTTTTTAGAAAGAGGGTCAGCCAGTACAAAGGCCCTGAGGTAGAAGCATGCCTAGATGTTCCAAGAATATGAAGGGGGCCAGTATGGATTCAGAAATAAGGGATAATATCAGAAGTGCAACAAGGTCAAGAGGTAAAAGATCTGGAGGTAGAGAGCAGATGAATCATGTAGGGTCTAGCAATGCAAAGTATGGTCCTGTGGACTAGCAGTGTCTGCATCACGTGAGAGCTTCCTAAAAATATAGACTCTTATGCCCCTATCCCAGCCTTTCTAAACGTGAATCTCATTTTAACAATATCCATAGGTGGTTCATATGCATATTAAAGTTTGAGTTGTGCTAACACAGGCTGTCTAGAACATCCTAAGTTGGCTTTTTCTCTGGTGGGATATCAAACCTCAGGAGAGTTTTGAACTGAAGAGCAACATGATAACATATTTTGGCAAATCATATGACTATTGTGCTGAAACAAACGGAAGATGGCAACATGGAAGCTGGAAGCCAGTTAGGAGGCCATGATGGTGACTCAGCAACATTCTGAAATTACACCATGGGAAGTTCATTTCTCTTAAAACGCAAATACATCTTAAAAGACTATGACTTTGAGTAGTTACTGGCATTAGCACCTTAGTGGAATTTAGTCTATTAGATTATTTTAGATGGGCCTAGGACATAAACAGATACAGCTTCTGAGAGCAGTTGTAGAAACTTCCAGGTGGCAGGTAAGGATCTGACCAGAAATCAAGGATCATGTGCAGCACTAAAATAGGGAAGTCCCTGATTATTATGAGGGCCATATTCACTTCCCATTAATCTATTATAACTCTTGGGGAAAAACAAATCATTCTAGAATCTCAGCATAGAAGACCACTAGAGAAGTAAATAAAACCAGGATTGGTAGGATTTGTAAGTGAATAATACTTCAGACTATGAAGTTCCAAGGGGATGTACACTCAAATGGATACCATAGTAACAGGGAAGTCGGTGGTGGTGCCAGCACCAGCAGTATTCATTCATAAAGATAGCATTAATGTATAGGCTGTCTGTCCACAGAAGTCCAAGAGCAATATGGGGAAAGGGGTGCTATTACTGGGGGGAACTCACAAGCTCCAAACTGGGCATCAGGGCTGCAACCAAGCCACTGGACTTCAGGGCCTAGCTCTAATCCTAGCTGGAAAACTGAAGTATTAAAATGGAAGCCAAGGCAAAAGATTAGTCATAACAATATGGGCCAGTGTCATGGGTTTTAGAAGACTGAGGAAGGAAGACAAATCCCAGACCCTAAGAACTAGTGAGTAAGCTTACCCCAGTTTTATTCAGCTCTGGCTGAAAAATTCAGTGGACTTGAACCTGCTATTTTACATACTCATTCAACACATATTCAGTGAATACCTATTGTTTCCAAGTCTCTGTTCTAGGCATTAGAAGGTGTAATAGAACAGGTAAAGTTCCTGCCTAAATGGAGATTATATTGTAGTGAAGAGAAGATAACAGACAAGCATAAATGTGTGCTCTAAAGAAAAACTGGAAGGGTAAGAATGGAAAAAAAAAAGCAGATCATGAAGAGGATGTTGCCATCCCACATTGGGAGGTTGGGAAATACTTCTCTGAGAAACTGATGTTTGAATGGAGACCTGAAAGAGGACAGGGGGTGAACCATGCATATAGTTTGGAGAGAGGGGACAGGAAGTGCTCCAGGCAGAGGGAATGCTCATTACAAAATTCCTGAGGCAGAAGCTAGCTTGGCATACTGGAGAGAAATGTCAAGAAGATCAGTGAGGTTGGAGCAGGTTGCACAGAGAGGGGGTTAGGGGATGGAGAGGCAGATGGATATGATCAGAGTGGGAGGTGGGCAGGATGGAGGCCATTGAAAAGGCTGATGCTTGGGCCCCACTAAAGTCCAAATTGTATCTTAATTGGTAAATGGAAGGCAGCTAAATTTCTCACATTCCTCCAAGTGATTCTGATTCACAATAAGGGTTGACAATCACTGATATAATATTCTATGAGTGATTTTAATGACCTTAGTTACTCTGAGATGAGAAACCAGTGCAGAGTTTTGAGCAGAAGAGTGACGCAACATAACTTTTTAAAGGTCCGCTCTAGATGCTGTGTGGAGACCAGGGGGCTCAAGGGTGGGAGCGGGGAGCTTAGTGAGGAGGCCACTGTAATAATCCAAGTGTGACATGAGGCGGGGGTGGACCAGAGTGATTATGGTGAAAGTGATGAGAAGGGATTAAATTTAAACATATTTTGAAGGTAGCACTGACAAGATTTTCTAAAAGAGTAAATGTGGGGTGAAAAAGAGGAGTTAGGGATGACTTCAATATCTTTGGCTTACGTAGGTGGAGGGATGGAGTTGCCATTTATTGAGATTGAGAAAACCATGACAAGAGTAGGTTTGATAAGTCAAATGAGAATTTGTCTCTGGCATGGTAGTTAATATGAAATGCTTACTCATTACGCAGGCAAAGTTTATATTTAAGGCCACAAGGCTGGATGTGGTCACTGAGGATATGAGTATATCTGGAAAAGAAAAACATATAAACACAATTTAATATTTAGAGGAGGCAGAGACAGAGAGGGCATAACAAAGCATCAGGAAACTATCAGCTAGTGAGGTAAGATGGAAAACAAGAGAGAGTAAGTGGTGGTTTAAAAACCAAAAGAAAAGAAGAATTTCAAGAAGTTCAGAGGATCAACTGTCTGTCAAATGATGCTCATGATAAAGGGTGATGAATGCTAAAAATTAATTTTAGTTTTGGAAACCAGCAGTCACTGGTGACCTGACAACAACAGGCCTGGTAGAGTAGAAGAAGAGATTAGGGAAAGATTAGAGAAAAGAAAAGAAGTAAAAGAGAGGATGTGGAGATTATGAGACTAGAAAGAAGAGATTATGAGAACCAGGTACTGGAAAAAAAATGCCTGTACAAATAATCGAATCACCAAGAATAAACACAGAACTAATATTTGAGAGAGTGACAGAGAGCCAAGTGATAAAATCTTCAAGCCACGTTGGAGGAGTGACACTGGTAACTGTAGTAAAACTACAAGGAGATACTATAGCTCTTTTTAAAGGAGTAACTCCTTTTTAAAGAAATTTTGCTGAAAGAAAATGCTGAGTAATGAGAGGAGTTTCTGGAGTAGGATGTCAGGTTTGGGGAAATTTTTTACGAAAGAAGACATATACAGTATCTGTATATTGATGGGAGTATGCAATAAAGAGAAGGAAACCCATAATACAGGAAAAAGACTGCAGTATTGCTGGAGAACTTTCTTTGATTAGGAGATAAGTTATGGCATCTTAGTGCACAGGTAGACGGTTTGGACTTAGAAGCACAGTCCATCCATAGTAAGAGGAGAGAAGGACATAAGTTAGAAGATGTGGTGGTGGGAGCATAAGGAAGTTCATCCTTGACTGCTTGTATTATATTTAAACCAAAGTCATCACCAAAGTGTAAGCAGCAGGGCAGAGATTCTGGAGATTTGAAGAAAGAGAAAATAGGAATGGCTGTCCTGGAGAATCAAAGAGATAGTAAACTACTAAAATATAATAAACTTTCTAGACAAGACTGAAGGGGTTTGTAATCGGTGGTCATGACTATAAATTGGGACCAGTCAGCATGATTGTGAGTATTTGTCTAGCCATCATCTTCAGCTGACTGAGCATAAGTGCAAAGTCCACAAAGAGTATATTTCACCAGAATTAGTGTTTCCAGAAAAGTATGATAGAAGATAATAGGAGCAAGAAAGGAAATTAAGAGCACATGCAAAAAAAACATAATTATTGTTATGAATCATGGAATCTGTGCTATATAAAAGGAAAGTGATGATACAAGGGAATTGAGGATATGAAAAGGGTGGCAGGAACAATGCATTGCGGGCCTAGATGGGACTGGAATTCTTGGAATCAGCAAACAAGAAGGATAAAATTGGAAGTAACATGAAGCTTGTTCTGAGATGACACGTTTGAAGTTGAAATGATGAAGAGAATACAGTTATTGAAATTGATGACAAGGGATTTGGTAGCTCAGGTAGTAGAAAAGACAAAATCTTTGGAGAAGAGGAAGACTTGAGACTGAAAAAGAAAGTACTGGAAAGAGATGCTTATGTGAATAATCAAATCGCCAAGAAGAAACGCAGAACTCCTATTTGAGAGAGTGACAGAAAGCCAAGTGATAAAAATATTCAAATAATGTTGGAGGAGTGTTGCAGGGTCAGTTAGTGACCACTCAGTAACACTGAGTGGCAGGTAGTAAAGTCTGATAACATAAGCTTCAAAGCTGGAGAATTTTCGGGACAAGGGTCTAGAAATGGTTTGAGGGGCAAAGAGGATACCAACACTGGATCCTGTCCCAGTGGTATGAGTGTTGTAGCAGAGAAAAATAATCACCACAAGACCACAGGCAATGCAGTATCCCCAGAAGATAAGTACATTCTACTTAGCAAAATAAAGTAAAAGGAAATTTCAAAAAACAAATGGAGGTTATAGGTAAGGTGATTATTTTTCCTAGTTTGCTTGGGACAGTCTCGATTTTGCCACTTGTCCCAGTGTTATTAACTGTATTCCCACTCACTCTCAAGAGTATTACCATTATGACAACAAATTATGTGACCTCCCTAGATACACACATCCTGCTGATAATAAAGTTTCATAGAGCAGAGTAGAAGAACCTGGAGAGTTGTAGAGGAATAGGAAAACTGGTCAAAATCAAGGGATGCGCAGATCCATATCAGTGAGATTTAAACAGTAATCTGGAAATTTCAGACTTTCCATGAGGGCAGCATTTAGGAATCCAGGACCAACACAGACTCTAGGCAAATTATGTTGATAAGATGAGTGTAGGTTGGCAGGAGGGGTGAGCATATTGCCAGGTGCTTACTGAGGTGTGGGGCCCCTCTTCATCCCTGACAGTGGCAGTGGAAGCTTGGCTAACAGCAATCTCACCAGCAGCTGAAAGTCTTGAGGGCATTGCTTCCCACAGCTGAGTGAGGCTGGGAAAGATAGCAGCTGATGCATGCTAGACTTAAGGATGAAGCAGCTCTGCACCATGTTGCACAAAGGAAAAAAGGCTGTGAGTAGAAAACAGATTTCAGCTGTTACACAGCTTCATCTATACTTCGTCCTGACCTTGCATGTCGGCCATATCCTCTTTTCTGCTTGTTCCATTCCCCTTCCTCCTAGAGCTATAAGCATCATTTGTCATTGAGTAAAAATGCCAAAGTAGATGACAATTAATGAGCCATCAGCAGAAGGAGGGTGAGGGCTAATTGGAGCTTTAGTGAGCAACTTGCTAATATATTAACTAGGTATATGACCTCAAAATCTGGGTTAGGCCCTTATTACAGAAATAAACAAACTGAAAATGGCTTGGGGTAAAACAAGACAACAAACTCAACAGCTTTGGTTCTACGAAAACGCCAAGCCTGGGCTGTCATACCACTGGACTTGGAGGGAGCAGTGTATTTGCTGCATTTGCCCTTTTGCCAAATGATTCCAACAAATACATGATTCACTTCAGTACTACACCCTGCAGCTGAGAGCTCCGATACCACTGGCATATTTTCTGCTCTCTAGAAATCAGAGTTTTTAGGTCTGTGTCAGTCATCACACAAAGAAAGAAGAGAACTGCACAGTGGGAGAATAAAAAAGATGTAGAGATCATTTCCAGCAGCCGTGCTAATGCATTTTTAATAGTAGAGTTGGATTTTTTTAAATTATTATTAAGACTTATTTTTGTTTTTAACAATCCTCATGGATATTTGAAATCAAAATCAGACTCGATTAGATGTTTTCTCAAAAAGAAAAGGAGAAACCTAGAATCATTGTGACACATGTAAAGTTGCTTATGAAGACTTCTTAGGTCATCACCAGGAATTTTACATAAGTTACAATGTGTCAAGTTTTATAGCAGACAAATCATACTACAAATACTACAAACAAACATGTTTTTCTAGATGCCAAGAAAAAATATATGTATGTATGTGTATATATATATATATATATATATATATATGTATGTATGTATATATATATATATATATATATATATGTATACAAATTCTGTGAATTATACTGGATGCTGATGCAACAGTGAAGTACTGTCTTATGTACATAAAGATGATACTACCAACCTGCTGTTGACAGAGTATGTTCTTTTAAAATTGCTTTTTTCCACAGTGATTTAATTCATGATGAAAGCCAGATCTGCTCCAATTCTTCTTTTAATTAGCTACATTCAATTCTAATTCATCTATTCATTCACTCATTCCTTTAATCAACAAACATTTATTCAGTGGCTGCTAAGTAAAATGCAGAACAGCAGGTACCCCACAGAGATTTGTACAAGACATTGTGAGAACACAGGGAAAGGGAACCTAGCATAGCCTGAAGGATGAGGCTACTTCAGATCAGTGAAGACTTCCTAAAGGAAGTGATATTAAACTTAGAATGAGTAGTATTTAATTAGGTAACAGAAATAACAAAAAAATGGGATAGGGAGGAGAGGGCCTGAGCAAAGGCATGAAGGTGAGCAGAGCATAGTATGTGCAAGAAACAAAAAGCAATTCCAGTTAGAAGAGAAGGTGCTGCAATAAAGTGGTGGGGGAGGAAGGTGCTTGTGGAACAAAGACACCTACTGGGCCATGTATCACTGGAACTTGCTAATTGGACATTAATATAATAATTCAAACTAGATGAGCAATAAGATGTAAAAAGAATAGCAGGAGTATTTGAAATCAGTTTCTCGATTGTGAAGAATAGAGAGCCACTTTGGACTTAGTTTTCTTCCATATTTTAAAATTGTGGAAACAGAATTTATTAATTCTAAGATTTTTTCTGGAATGAATATTCAGTGAGTCTTTGGACACTAATTTCAAACTGTTTAATAGCTTATGAGAGAAAATGCTTCCTAGGAAACTTCAGAGGACTGTAGTGGGAGTCCCTAACACAGAGACCCTAACATCAAGCCTATGTTGTTAGTCCTGACTTAAAACACAGCCTCATACCCAAGTGAAAAAATTCTCCAAAGGATTTTCCAGCTTTCTAGTTCCCCAGGATGAAAAAAGAATAGATTGATGCATCTTTGTTTCCTGCTGGTTGCATTATATTCTCAAACTTCTTATTCCAATAAATATCCAAGGTATTGCCTTGGTTTAGTTCTTACTCTCAAAGTTACTTCCCAAATTGGAAAATGCATATATATTTTTTAAAAATTTTCTGTTGGGTAAATACCAAAAATTAAAAATTATAATCCTACTGATACCATTTGGCTCTGTGTTCCCATCCAAATCTCATTTCAAATTGTAATCCCCATGTGTCAGGGTAGGGACCAGATAGGAGGTGACTGGATCATGGGCGTAGTTTCTCCCGTGCTGTTCTCACAATAGTGAGTGAGTTCTTGCCGAGCTAGTGGTTTTAAAGTGATATTTCCTCGATTTCACACTCATTCTATTCTGCTGCCTTGTGAAGAAGGTGCCTGCTTCCCCTTCACCTTCCACCATGATTGTAAGTTTCCTGAGGCCTCCTCAGCCATGCAGAACTGTGAGTCAGTTAAACCTCTTTTCTTTATCAATTACCCAGTCTCAGGCATTTCTTTATAGCTGTGAGAAAATGAACTATTACACCTACCATAATTTAAAAATTATTTTAGTCTCCAATTTTACCCTCAGAGTTTACCTCCATTAATAGCAGAGTATACATCTTTATGACTTCCTTCTTTATTTAAACAGGCCGGGCGCTGTGGCTCACGCCTGTAATCCCAGCACTTTGGGAGGCTGAGGCGGACAGATCACCTGAGGTCAGGAGTTCGAGACCAGCCTGACCAATATGGGGAAACCCCGTCTCTATTAAAAATATAAAATTAGCCAGGTGTGGTGGCGCATGCCTGTAATCCCAGCTACTCGGGAAGCTGAGGCAGAAGAATCACTTGAACCTGGGAGGCGGAGGTTGCAGTGAGCTGAGATTGCGCCATTGCACTCCAGCCTGGGCAACAAGAGTGAAACTCCATCTCAAAAATAAAAAATAAATATAAAAATAAAATAAACAGGAGACATCTGCAAAAATCACACATACGCAAATAGTCACACATATGAATACAATTTTTGTTTAATTTCCATTTTGACTTTTTAAAAAATAAAATGTTTTCATGCCCTTGTCTTTTTCAATTCCTTTGTCAAAAACATCTTTCAGGTTAGTGTGTATGTATATTATACATATGTAAGTTTCATTCGCTTTCTGTGGCTCCCAGTCCCTGGCTGTTCTTTTACATCCTCAAAAGGGCCCTCCCTCTCCTCTCATTCTGATTTATGTGTTCAGTGTTCTACAATTTTCTCCTTCTCAACTGCTAAATTCAATTCTCTGACTAAACATAAATGCCATGACTATTAGCATATCTTTCTGTTTTTATGTTTCTCAGATTAATTGTCATCTTAGGCACTAAAGCTTCTGATTATAAATTCCTCCTTTCTTGTTAAATATCCATAACTCTATTATTTTTCTTATTTTAAATCAATATGTCTTGCAAAATCCTTTAGGGCTCTGCTATCTGGCGCCAGCTTTGCCTAGGAGATAATAAAATAAATAAAATTTGAATGTCTTGATAGTGTTTGGGGGAAATAAATATATTACAGTATAAAACCATGCTTATGTTTTACAGAAAATAACTGGCTTCTTCCATTATTCCTTTATTTCTCCTATTATACCTAACATTAAATACTGGAGTCCAAAAGTGCACAATACATTTTAAAAAACTCCATAACTAAAGATAAAGCTTCTCTTTTTATGTGATAAAAATTGGCTTGTAATATAATCTAAGCACATCACATTCATAGCTTTCATATTTAAAGTTCATTTTTTCAATGCAAATTTTTATTGAAATTTTAAATTTTATTTATTTTTTAAAATTATAAAATACATGTAACATAAAATTCACCATCTTAACCATTTTAGGTGTACAGTTTAGTAGCATTAAATACATTTACATTATTGTGCAACCATCGCCACCATCCATCTCCACAGCCCTTTTTCTTGCAAAACTAAAACTCTGTACCCACTAAAAATTCCCTCCTCCCATTCCCTCTTCCCCCCAAGGCCTTAGCAATCAATTATGTCTCTACGAATTTGAACATTCTAGGTATCTCATATAAATGTAATCACATAGTAGTTGTCCTTTTTTGACGGGCTTTCTTCACTTAGCATAATGTCCTCTAGGTTCATCTACATTGCAGCATGTGTCAGAATTTCCTTCAATTTTAAGGCTAAATAATATTCTGTTGTGTATATGTGTATGTGTATATATGTGTATATATGTGTATATATGTGTGTGTATATATATCCTGCATTTTATATATATGCTATATATATATGTATATACATATACACACACACACATATATATCCTGCATTTTGTTTATCTGTTCATTATCAACAGACATGGGTTGCTTCTACCTTTTGGCTGTTATGAATAATGGCTCTCAATTATCTTGGGTATATATCCAGAAGTGGAACTGCTAGACGAAATGGCAATTCTAGTTTTAATTATTTAAGGAACTGCCATACTGTTTTCCATAATGGTTGCACCATTTTACCTTCACACAAATAATGCACAAGAGTTCCATTTTTTTTTTTTTTTTACATTCTCACCAACATTTATTTTGTTTTTTTGATAGTAGCCATCCTAATGGGTATGGGATAGAAATCATGTAAATCTAAATTCTATTTTAGTATGCATTTTTAAGAGGCACTATTTTGGCTAATAAACTTCAATAACTATCTTCTTCACATTATGCTCCAATAAAAATTGGATTGTGCTTGCTTATCATATAAAGCTCAGCATTCCTGAGAGGTAAGACTCAATCTATCCCACAAATATGGCTCATCCCAGTAGTGATTCTCAAAGACAGAAGAGACCAATAACCTATTAACCAGCCCCCAGCAAAAGAAGCAAGTCAGAATGGGGGAAGGAAGTATGTATAGTTCAACAGAACAAAAACTCATGTTATTCGGACACATCCAATTGAGAATAATTTGTTTTCCTAAACTCTGGGAATGTTTATCTCTGCCATTGCGATTCCTAGAACTCATCACAGTTATGGAGCTGAAAGAGACTGCAGGGACCTTCTAGATTAATCATTTTGTTTTATGGATGAGAAAATTATACCTAAAAAGGTTAAGTGATTTACCCAAGGCCACACAGCTGATTAGTGTCAATATTTATATCTGCAGCCCACATCTCTTAATTCTGGTCACTTGCTCTTTCCATCACAGTTAAAAAACTTAAGTCTGTAATGTCCTCTCAAAACTAATTAAAATTCACATCACAATTTGAGTGGTTCTCAAACTTTATATGCTATTAAGAATTGCCTAGTGAGGCTGTCCAAAATGCTTATTCTTAAACCTCCAAACCCAGATATCAAGATTCACGGAGTCTGGGGTGGGACCCAAGAATTAAATTAATGAGCAATACAGATGATTCTGATAAACATTGTTCACAGATTATCTTCTGAGAATCACTCTTCTGGGTACTATTTAAAAGCCCTGGTCTTAAGCCAGTGATCTTCAAGGCATGGGCCCTGGTCCAGCTGCATCAGCACCACTTGGTAACCTAAGAGAAATGTAAAGTCTTAGAGCCCACGGCAGAACTACCTAATCAGAGACTCTTGGGGAGAGACTAGAACATTGTAGATTAATAAGCTCTTCAAGTGATTCCAATGCATCTAACATTTGAGATCCAGTGGCCTAGGCTCAATTTTAGTCCAAGCAAGCCACTCACTTTATTATGTTGCCTTCCAACTAGAGGATTTAGGAACCCAGGGCTTCGGGTGCATCAAAGTAATCCAAAATATTTGATCACCCTAACTGATACTGCCAAGAGTGTGCGTGTGTGTGTGTGTTGAATGTTTCAACACTAAGGAACAAAACCTTCCCTGTCTTTGCTCCTTACATGCAATTGATTGAAAAGTAGAGGTTAAGTGAGGGGCATATCAAGTGGCAAATGTTGCTTCCCGCCTTGTGACATCGTTTACATTTTAGGAACAAAACAATACTTATCTGCTTGCTGCAAATCTTCACCTGGATGTCCTGTCAGTGCTCCTGCCAGCCATATGTCTAACACTCAACTAATTACCTTTCTTTGCAAGTTGACGCTTATCTTTCTGTGTTCTTTATTTCTGTTAAAAGCATCACTGCCCTCCCTATCATCAGGCTGAAAATTGAGGAATCATTTTCATTGCCTTCATCTTTGTTACCAGAGCCAAATAATTGCTTTAACTATCAATCCTGCCTCTGACACATCTCTCCAATTTATTCTCTCCTTTCACTTTCTACTTCCAATTTAGTAATTCATGTCATTATTACCATCCTCCTGGACTACAGAAATAACTAACTAATTGGCCCCCTCCTGCAAATTCATCTTCCCTCAGCATAGCACTGAAAGTGATCCATCTTTGCTCAAAAGCCTGTAAGTGTTCCACTTTATCTCTAGTGCAAATTGTTTATGCTAGCATTCAAAAGTCTCTATAGGTTGGTATTATTCTGTTTTTCAGTATTCATTTACTCATTCATTACTTAAATAACGCCTATTCTGTATTGATTTGGGTATCTTCCCTTTCACATGCCATACATTACTATCAAACCAAGTTGCTGGCTTTGTCTTATACTCTGCAATGTTCTTACATATCAGGTATTGCTCATTTCTTTCCCTCCATCAGGAATGCACTCCTCTGCCTGCCTTCTTTTTCTGTCTATTCGTTCTTCATTTTCAAGGTCTACCTCAGTTGTACTATGATGTCTTTCCTAAAATATTTTCTTCCTCCATTAAACTTTCTTAACAATGTATCCATCTCCACAAATGGTTTCCTTTTAATACTGTAATTGTCTTTGCTTGTCTATCCTTCTAGATCATATACTATTTTGGGCCAGAACACATACCTGATTCATCAGTGTATCCCTCTATCTCTACAGCATTGAGCTTGATTCTTAATCTTTCTTTCCAACTTGAGTGACTAAAATATTTAACAGAAATCAATATCAGATTATTCATGAATTTAGATCCCAAAATGTCTAAGCCTGATTCCTCATAGTGTTCCTCTTAAACAGACTAGATATTTATATATTTTCCTTATGTTCTGAGTAGTACAACTTATTCACTATCTTTAAAGGCTCCCAGTAAAATAATTTATAAGAACAGATTTCAGTACTTTTCAATTCAGTTTAAATGCTATCAGTCTTGTCTGGTATGTTTATGTAACTGAGACTTATCACTTTGATTAGGGAAGGATGCCATGTAGAATTATGTTTCAAGTGTGGCAAAATGATCAGTTGTATGTATTTGTTTTGCATTTTTTGTCTAGAAAGCTGGGAAATAAGGCAGGAAAGACAGAGTAAGACGAAGGCTAGGCTCAAACAAATTTGGCATTTCCCTCAGGTGCATAAATTAAGGGGGCACTAAACAAACAGAATAATCAGATGGGATCAGCATTGCTTATCTTCCCTTTTGCCCCAGGCACCAATATGGCTCCACATGGTACTGGCAAACCTAGTCTTTATTTGAAATTTTGATATTTTATAATGGATTTTTGCATGAATTTTGTTCTTTTCTTAAAATATTGCATAGAGTATTATTTATTTGATTACTGAGTTTGGTGCACCCTTCAATTATGCACACAGGACAGGTGCTTTACTCACCTTATCCTAGAGGAGGCCATGAGAAGGAAGCAGAAAACAAAATGGGGAAGAAAAAAGGAAGGAAAAATAGATAAGATGAAAGGCATGAAGGGAGACAGACAGTCTTTATTAAATACTCTTAATCTTTAAGTGTAAATATTATATTAAGTTGATAATAGATAAACAAAAACAAGTATGATGAAAGATTCTGCCAACATTGGTGTAAGCAATGTTGTTTATTTGTATACAATATGTATATACCATAGACAGATGTACATTACTACAATATATATACATATTACAGATTGCATATTTTATTTCTGCATATTACAATACATTATGTTCATTGTATTAACTCAGGAAGGTTGATTCTGAATTATTTTTATTTTTCATATTTATGTTTATTTTTCCCTATTAGAATTAGTTACAATTTTACCACATTTTAGAAGAATTTACCTGTTAATCTCTGACAATTTCCAAATCATACTTAAATATTTCTTTAAGAATCAAAGATAATATTTGACTTAAACTTTTGTTGTTTGGGCTAAAGAGGAAGATAAAAAAGGAGTTTGAATCTGAAATTCCCTACTAACTGGTTATGAGGCCTAGTCATTGTTCTGAGAAATCACCAGGTAAATTTGCCTAAACGTTGCACATAATTTGTAATTTACCCCAACAGAGGGATAATGTGTGTTAAAATATGGAAAATGTAAAAGAATGGGATCAATAAACTTGGGCTAATTCAATGAATACATGTATTTTAATCTCCTGAGTGTCTGGGGTTTTTTAACATTTAAAAATTAAGTGCTCTGTAGTGTAAAGATGTAGTGTTTGTTTTGAAAGAGCACAGGAGACTTCCAGGAAAGAGTAGCTACTCACAAATTATTGCTTTCGCCTTCCATGACAAGGCCAACAATATGCTTTCATTTACTGATTCTCATCTAATACCTTAAGCTTGAGCACCCCATCTGCTCAGCAGTATGTAAATGTGATGGAAGGTTTCTGCCTCAAATTATACTGTCAGAAATATATTGCATTTAATACTTTGTGTATTTAACTCTGTGTATAAAATATTCAGCCTGCAGGAGAGTTGTGAATTACAGTCAAGTGAAATGCTGTGCTTGAATTGTGAAGCTCAAGAAGCTTTTATCAGCTTATCAACTCAAAATATCAATATTCTCCTGCACCATGTTAACACAAATACATTTATGCAATTCCAGCAACAGAGATGGTCTTACCATTTCTCCATTTGGCACTTTGGATATAATAATTATATGCAAATTTGGACAAATTTCCTTTCTGCTTTAGGGAATCTAATTTAGTTTGTCAATCTAGCTGTTTTTTAGAAATTGCTCCACATATTATACACAATAATAAAAGACTCAAATCTCATTTTCTAACCCTGCACTCCTAACAACATTTCACAGTATTTTGCATATTATTTGATAATATACTGTTTGAATCAGGAATCTTATCCAGAGTCATAGAATTGCTTTAAGTTTTGTCTTGGTGTTTGTCTACTAATGTGCACATTTTTTCAGTTGCGTGTGCTGGGAGAGCCACCAAATGATGTATTGGACCAAAAATATTTACCCATTTGATATTCTCTATTAGTCATCCAGCAATTTCAAACTTAATATATCCAAAACCCAACAGTTGTCCCACCTTTTATTTTTTTCTTTTTCACTTGATAGCAAATTCATTCTTCTTAGATTGACTCTTGTCTTTCTCTTACACCTCATGTCTAATTCATCAGTAAATCTTGTAGGGCCCTTTCTTTCTCTCTTCCTTCCTTCCTTCCTTCCTTCCTTCCTTCCTTCCTTCCTTCCTTCCTTCCTTCCTTCCTTCCTTCCTTCTTTCCTTTCTTCCTTTCTTTCTTGCCCTCCCTCCCTCCCTTCCTTACTTCTCTCTCTCTTTCTTTCTTTCTTTCTTTCTTTTTTGACAAAGTCTCACTCAGTTACCCATGCAGTGGCATGATCTCAGCTCACTGCAACCTCTGCCTCCTGAGTTAAAGTGATTCTCCCACCTCTGCCTCCTGAATAGCTGGGACTACAGGAGCATGCCACCACACCCAGCTTTTTTTTTTTTTTTTTTTTTTTGGTATTTTTAGTAGAGATGGGGTTTCACCAGGTTGGCCAGGCTGGTCTTGAACTCCTGACCTCAAGTGATCCACCCACCTCGGCCTCCCAAAATGCTGGGATTCCAGGTGTCAGCAACCATGCCTGGCCCCTGTAGGTTTTTTATTTAAAAACATACAAATTTTCACCACCTCCACCATTATTACCCTGGTCCAAGCCATCACTGTCTCTTTCCTGGATTATTGCAATAGCTTTCTACCAAGTCTTCCTGATTTTACTCTACTTTGCCATAGTCTGCTTTCAATATTGCAATATAAGCGAACAGGTCATTCTTCTGCTCAAAATTGTTCATTGGCTCCCCACTCCATTCAAGGCCAAAAACTCTTACAATAGCTTGCAAGGCTGAATATGATCTATGTTCACCCACCTCATTATCTTTCTGGCTTGGCTTATCTGGTTTCTTTGCTGTTTCTTGGTTGTACCAACCACACTCCCCTTTTCACTGGCTGTTTTCTGTTCTTCCTATCTTTCCTTCCCCTAGGTAGCTTCGTGACCTACTTTCTCACCATATTTGAGTCTTAGTTCAATGTTACCTTTTCCAGAAACTTTCCCTGACTTCCCTATTTCTAAATGCAATACCCCTGATACCTCAGCACTTCCTACACTTCTTTCCTGCTTTTATTCTGTTTCCATAGCATATGTCACTTACTAATATATAATTTACTTGCAATTTTATTTTTAATTACCTTATAGATTTTTTATTATATGTATTTAAGGTTTACAACATGGTGTTTTGATATACATATACTCAGTGAAATGGTTGCTACAGTCAAGAAATTAACATGTCTACCACCTTGTATAGCCATCTTTTTTTATAGTAAGAACACCTAAAATCTATTCTCTTAGCAAATTTTCAGTATACCATTTTCTTAATTAACTGTTCTAGTATACCCTGCACTAGAATGTAAACTTTATGAGGGCAAGAATTTTTGCCTTTTTCACTCACTGATAGATCCCAAGCACCTTATAGGTGCCTAAAAGATAGAAGATTCTCAATAACTAATTGTTGAAAAATAAATTTGGCCCCCAAAATAACCCCCAAAAAATTAAACAAAAGTGAATTGATAAAAAGCAAATGCCTCTATGATTTCCTTTTCTACAGTAAGAAATTATTTGGACAAAATAGTCAAAGTATATTAAATTAACAATTCTTAAGTTTTAGAGTTTGATGATTTGATGTATGTATACATTGGGAAATGATTACCACAACCAAGCTAACTAACACACCCATCACCTCACATGGTTACTTTTTTTTTTTTTTTGGTAAGAACACTTAAGATCTACTCGCTGAGCAAATTTCTAGTATACAGTATGTTGTTATTAATCATAGTCACCATGCTGTACATCACATTTCCAGAACTTATTCATCTTTTAAATGAAAGTAAAATATGTTGATCCTTTGACCAACATCTTCCCATTCCTCACCTCCACCCCAGGCTCTGGTAACGACCATTCTACTCTCTGCTTCTATGAGTTTAATTTTTTTTAGATTCCACATGTAAATGAGATCATGCAGTATGTCTTTTTATGTCTGGCTGCTTTCCTCTAGGTCTATCCATGTTGTCACAAATGGTGGGATTTTCTTCTTTTTAGTAGTTAAATACATTCCATTTTATACACACACATACACATACACACACACACACACACACACACACACACACACACACACCACATTTTCTTTATCTATTCATACACTGACAGACATTTTGGTTGTTTCCGTATCTTGGCTTTTATAAAGAATGCCACCATGAACATAAGAACACAGATGTATCTTTGAGATGCTGATTTCATTTCTTTTGGATATATATCCAGAAATGGGATTGCTAACTCATATGGTAGTTTCATTTTTAATTTTTCATGGAAGCTCCGTACTTTTTCCCATAATGGCTGTAAAAATTGACATTCCCACCAACAGGGTAACAAGGGTTCTTTTTTCTCCACATACTCACCAACACTTACTATCTTTTGTCTATTTAATAATACCAATTCTCACAGCTATGCAGTAATAACTCATTGTGGTTTTGATTTGCATTTCCCTATTGATTAATGATGTTGGCATTTTTTCTTATACCTGTTGGCCATTTGTATACCCTCTTTTGAGAAAATCTATTCAGTCCCTTTGCCCATTTTTTATTTGGGTTAATTGTTTTCTTTTAATTTAGTTGTTTGAGTTCCTTATATATTTTGGATATTAACCCTTCATCAGATGTATGGTTTGCAAATATTTTCTACCATTTCCTAAGCTGTAGCTTCACTCTGTTGATTGTTTCCTTTGACGTGCAGAGCTTTCTATTTTGATGTAATCCCATTTGTTTACTTTTGCGTTTGTTGCCTATACTTTTGGTGTAATAGCCAAAAATATCTTAACATAAATTTATGCCAAGATAAATTTAACTAAGAGAGTAACATATCTATACAAAGAATACTGTAAAACATTGATGATAAAATGAAGAAGACACAAATAAATGAAAAGTTAACCCATATTGGTGGATTGGAAGAATAAATATTGTTTAAATGCCCGTAGTACCCAGAGGGATCTATAGATTCAATGAAATCCTTATCATGATTCCAATGACTATTTTACGTAAATAGAAAGAACAATCCTAAAATGCAAATGAAACTACGAAAGACTACAAATAGCCAAAGCAATTTTAACAAAGAAGCACAAAGCTGGAGGCATCACACATCCTGATTGGAAACTGTATTGCAAAGCTGTGGTAATCAACATAGTATGATACTGGCATAAAAACAGACACATAGGCTAAAGGAACAGAATAGGGACCCCAGAAATAAACCAATGCATATACAGTCAACTAATTTTTGACACGGAAATCAAGAATACACAATGGAGAAGGGAAAGTCTCTTTAATAGTGTTAGGAGAACTGGATATCCACACGCAAGAGAATGAAACTGAATCCTTATATAAATTAATTCACAATAAAGACTTTATTGTAAGATGTGAAACTCTAAACCTCCTGAAAGAAAATATAGTGGAGGAAGAGCCATGCCATTGGTCTTGACAATGACTTGATATTTTTGA
Organism: Homo sapiens; assembly: GCF_000001405.40. Lineage (NCBI taxonomy): Eukaryota > Metazoa > Chordata > Mammalia > Primates > Hominidae > Homo > Homo sapiens. Next base: position 93,536,644 of record NC_000004.12, read on the forward strand.
CTTCTTTTTTTTTTTTTTTTAACACTTGTTGATTTAGAGATTCAATTGTCAGCTTTTAAATTCAATCTACTTTGACTTGTGTTTTTAATGCTGGTCATGGCTGAAAAAGAGACCACACAATGATTAATAAATCAAATAAATAAGGGACATATTTGTGCTTATAAATGATTTAAATTTTCCAACATAATTCAGTCATGCAAAGTTTTTTGATAAAATTTTGACAGAAATGTGTTCTGTCCTTTAAAGGATAGAAGTTTTAAATTTTGATGTATTCCATATATCTTTTCTTCCTTTGTCATTGGTGACATACCTCGCATTGTTAATTTTTGATGTCTCTGCATTTTTTTAATTAGACTTCTTTGCAATCTCCCCTTTATAAATAACACTCAATATCTAAAAAAATCCTTGAAATCTTATAAGCTTCTACTTTTTTGGTTGTATCTCTGGCCATGAGATTATGTATAATTATTTTCTGACTTGAAAAAGTTTGCTTTTCTGAAAGCTAAAGTGTTTATATAACTCATCCTAACATAACTTTCCTTAGTTAGTTAAACTTACTAATGGCAACATTTCATTCTCTAAGGCTATTTTCATTTTCACCCCATCAAGTAGTCTCTCGATTTATTATTTTATGCCTTCTTTTAGTGTTTACATAGCTCCTATTTTCTGCCTTGAATTAAGCAGGTTTTTGAGAGATATATTAAGATGAGAAGTAAGACACAGAGATTTTGCCTACAAGGAATTTTGCCTTCTAATAAATAAGACAAATCAATTTTATAAAAACAAATGGCTATAAAACATGGTAAAAAGTGATAATTACCATCAAAGAAAGGCACAAATTAAGTTCTATGTGAATTGACAGAGGAAAAGATAATTCTTTTCTTATTTTACTATTTTCAGAATTAAATCTAAAGTAGCAGTTTTTCTCATTATCCCTTTGGTTCCTGTGAGATAAAATTGGCTAGAAGGCAAATGACAACTTCATTCACAAATTACATTTGATTGAAAGGAAATTGCAGAAAGATATTTGGAGAGTTGATGCTTTCTGTCAACATTACAACTTGTTTCTCCATTAGCCTTGTGGTCCTCATTAGAGATGTTTGATCCTTAACCTCTATTGACTAAGCAAAATGCAGAACAACCCCATAAAATTATTTTTTAATTCTAAATATTTCCCCCTTTGTTACACCCCTTTACTTCATATCAGAATATGTTCATTTTTTCCTTTTGTTATATAGGTTCTTTTTATCTCGTTTTTACCTCCATAATGCAGTTACTAAACAAATTTTCACAAATCAATAATTTCTAGGTAAGGCTACATAAGGTTTTCTATCCTGAAATATTTCTGCAACGTGAAACTATACAAATAAATATTTTGTTACATAAAAAATTTCAGGAATTACCTGTATTCTCTTTTTAAAATTTTTATTCGTTTATTAAAAATTGTATACTCAAATCCTTTCTCTGAACACTGTTCTTTAATAAAAAGTACCAGGAATCCTTAGAGAAATGGCTGATGTTAAGACTGGTGCAGGAAAAATAGAAGGTGAATCTGGAAAATTTTTTCATTCCAGAAAATAAGAAAGTGCTCAAATAACAAAAGGAGCAAGTAGGGAATGCTGAGGGACAAAGGGGCCAAGTGGAAACACTTTCTCATGGCCAGAACAGAAATAACACAAGAAAGATGAAGAATTGAATATTGGATTACAACCCAAACTCTAAATATACAAGTTCATAGTGATATGAAAAAAATTATTGAATAAAAAAAGTGGGAGAAGAAACAAATATTTCTTACAGAGAATTTTAAATAATACGTGTAGATACTGCGTTCCTACAGGAGCTTTATACTCCTCCATTCACGCTTTAATGTGGACTGGACTTAGTGATTGGTTTCCAAAGAAAAGAGTACGGAACAGGAAAAAATAGAGATATCTGACAAACACTACCTTGATCAAGATATCAGTGATATATAGATATCTTGATCTATAGATGGGAGAGGCATTCCACTACCATGGTATTCTTTCAAAAAAATTCATAACCCAAGTCTAATCATGAGAAAAGAAATCAGATAAACCAAAATTAAGGGACATACTCCAAAATACTACACCAGTACTCCTCAACACTGTCAAGGTTATGAAAAACAAGTCAAGATAGAGAAACTGTCACAGTCCAGAGGAAACTAACAAGACATAACAACTAAATGTAATGTTTGATAGGGTTGGGAACAGAAAAAAAAAAGACATTAACAGCAAAACTGTTGAAATCCTAATAAAATCTGAGGTCCAGTTAATAGTAATGTCCCATTGATGGTTTCTCAGTTTTTACAAATGTACCATAGTAATGTAAGATATTAATATTAGGGGAAAATGGGTTAAGGAGTATAAGAGAACTCTGTGTTACCTTTGTAATACTTGTGAATCTAAAGTTATTCCAGAATAAATAGTTTACTTAAAAGCTATAGAAACATATCTAGATTTTTCTATTTTAGGCATGAACTGTTATTTCTGACTGTGGAAGACAAGAATTTAGTTTCTGTCCTTCTCTTGCTTCTACCATACATGTACAACCTTCCCATCTACCAAATCCCCATTATAATTGTACTCATATCAATATATTGTATATTTCTATTCACAGCTGACCCATTTAACAAACTGTAATTACTTTTCCTTGTTGCCTATCCTCTTGTTAAACTGGATTTAGCAATTATCTCATTTTGTTCATTTGTTTAATGTATATGTCCTTAGCACTTATTCAACCTCAAGCTTTTCTCCATTGTCTAAGTCTCCTTTCATAATGTTCAAATGTGCCCAGTATTCTATTCATTTCTATCGATATGGTAAAAGATGTCTTCACAAACTGTTCCTTCACCAATATTCTGTTTTCCCTTAGCATGTGTTAGGTCTCTTGTTTCATGTATTTCATGCTTTTTTTCCTTGGTTTACTCTTTGATTTTGGTAACACAGTATCTCATAACCTTCTTAGGAAAAATGAGTTGGAGATAAAATTGTGAGACTTGCATGCCTGAACACATCACTATCCTGCTTGCATTTTATTTGCAGTATTGGTTGGGAGAATCCTTTCTTCCTTCAGAAGTTTGAATGCATTGTTCCATGGTATCTAATATTTCAGTTGAGATGTCAGAAATATGTCTGATGGGTTTTTTTTGTTTGTTTGTTTGTGTGCTCTGGAAGTTTGTGGTATCTCTTCTTGGTTCCTTGTGTTCTGAAATTTTACTGATATGTCCATTTCTATCATTTGTGCTGGGCACCTGAGAGGCCCATTTAATCTATAAACTCATGTTCTTCAGTTCTGAAAGTTTTAAAAAATTATTTTACTGATGGATACTTTACTTCAATTATCTATTTTTAGTTTCTTTCTGGAGTTCCTAGTATTTATATTTAAAGCCTTCTGATTGATTCTTTCTTATTTATGTAATTATTCAATATTTGTGTGATTTTTTCCTTGGAAATTTTCTATTCTTATCTTTCAAAACTCCTGTTTTTCATGTCTACTAGCATTTTTTAACTTCAACAGCACTTTATTGTCCTTTGAATGTTGTATTTTCTTTAGAATTCAATATTTCCTTATTGCGATGTTTTTTAACTCTAAATATATATATAAGGATAGTGCTTTTGTTGTTGTCTTGGTTGTATGGATTGGCCTTTAACATTTTCTTCTCCATGCATCGTCTGTTGCTTTCAAGTTGCTTTTTCTTTTCTAATTGTTTTAGTCACTATTGCAATAGAGACTTTTGATATCTGGTAAAGTTTGAATGGAGGCCCATATTTTAAAATTAAGAACCAAGAAGTTAATTGGCAGCTCTGAAAAACAACTAGGCATAAAAAGAGAGAGAAAAGCATACCCCAAGTAAAAAGAAAAGCAGGTTGTGAAAGACCTAAGGCAGGGTTGAGCTTGTTTCATTGGCAAAATAGGGTTACAAATGGGACAGAAGAGCTGGACTATGGTGAGGAAGGGTAGAAATGTAAGAGATCTTAATTTTGCATTCCAGAGAGAAAGTTTTAGGCTGAGGCTTAGACCAAAAGCTCAGGGCAAAGGCCAAAGAGTTTCATGATTTACACCTGGAAAATGGAAAGCACACAATCTGTCCAGGCAGGAGTCCAGCTACAGCTGTCTTCTGCAAACTCCAAGAAAATAACAAGAGCTCCTTTTTATGAATGCTGTATTTATAAGTCACATGTAGCTTTGTCTTCCACTGAACTGTAGAAATTTTGGTTCATTAAATATCAACTTCCTCATTTTACTGGTGAAGAAAGTGAGGCCCTTTCTTAAACATATTAACATTTTTATCACTAAAAATTCTCTATTGGAATTTACAATTATATTGAGAGACTATAAATATGCTACTCCTAGCATCATTTAAAGTTCCCAAAACCCAAATGAAAAAGAATATGACAGCCCGACAGAATTTGTTTACCTAACTCGAGGAAATGTCGTTGAGAGACACTATGGAGAAAACAGCCTAACTCAGTGAAATTGAAGTATATTAGATTTTAAAAGGCAGAAGGAAGACAATGAAATCTAAGAGACATTTTCCCAAAAGGCACTTAGTACATGCGGACAGTAAATCCCACAGTGTCAGTGTGCTTTTTGTTCAAAGTGCGCAGAAATTTTCTTGAGAGCTGTAGAATTATAAAAGTTAACAACATGACTATAATGTTTCCCAGCAAAACACCCTACAAGACAGCTCTTTAATTGTAAGGATTCAACACTTTTAGGGTACAAGTGTATTCTACTCTTGTCATGGAGAGAGTGAGAGTTAAGTGATTCTTGGGGTATTCTTCTCTTCAAATGCAAGCTGTGGGTCCCATTTGTCAGGAAAAGAAAAATAAATACAACCCCGGTGTGAGAATAAGAATTCTCTCTCTATCTTGGTTCCACTTAATTGTAAAAATCTTGCCAAAAAATATCTGATATATATTTCAAACATTTTGTAGTCATTTACAGACTCTCATGCCATTTATACATGGTCTTGCAGGGGCAGCCTTGTGAGCTGTGTCTCATTTTTCTAAAACCACTAGAAGGAAAACTTTATGCAGTACGGTTTGGGAGTTGCTCTATACAATGTGACACTTGATCTGAAATACCAAATGGCAGACTTTTACACAGTAACTTGAAAAAATTATCCTAATTTTGCGTTTCATGATATCACTAATGCATAATCAGCAAGTAATGATTAATTACTCAATATCGCCCTTAACTTGGGAACCCTCATCATTCTGGCCTCTCTTTGCAAAGATGTATGGACAATAAGTTATGGAAGACTTGAAAGGACCATTTCATGTGAATTTCCTGGGAATATTATATTTTCCTAAATTGAACTATTTTACTTTAGCTTGCCATTTAGGCTGAAATGATTCCTTACTTTGCCCAACTTGGGTCACTACCCCTCACATAGCCCTCTTTAATGTTCTTCAGTTCACATACCACTACCTAAAGTTAACTTGATTTTATTTTAACTTCAGATTGTCTGTTTCCTCTCACTAGACTGGGGCAAAGTGTGGGCAGTAGACAATCTTCAAAGACCTTGTCTGTCTCCTCTGTTGTATTCATTGCTGTGTTTCTACCCACCTAAAATAATGCGTAGTGGCACTGAATTAATGTTTATTGAGTAAAATATTTTACTATCCTGTACCCAGCCTTTGATGACTTGCCAGAACTGAGCCCCAGAAAAAAGTACCTTTTCTCCTTGGTTTCAATAATTTTTCTTTTGGATTCTACTGAAAGAGAAAATGTGGAAAGAATTACTGAAGCTAGCCATAACTCCAACAAATAGCCAACAATTCTGATCGCCAGTATTAAACCACAAATTTGTAACATAACCACATCATAGAATAAGAAAGTACAGTTTCATTGTTTCTGCCTTTTTTCACTGGAAGTAAAAAGAGCAGAAAAGAGCAGAGGATGGGTGGGATCATAAAGTCAATAAGATACGGGAAGCCATGATTTCTTTTAGCTTCACTTTCCCCCAAGGAAGATGCTGAAAAAGTGTGAGGAGGGCTGGAAACATCACCTACCTGAGAAGAGGTGGGTCTGGTCGCAATGCTCAGAAGGCAGGAGGAGACCAGGGCACCCAGCCTCTGCCTTCTTATTCATAACTTAGGGATGCAGAAAGACCTTATCTTATTCCCCTACTGTCCTGTCCCGACCATTTTCCTTCTTCTGGTAAAATTTAAATTCCTCTCTGCCCAGCATCTTCTCCTTTCCTAGAAGCAGTGATCTTAACCATCTTTCTTCCTGAAGCCATGCTTGCGTAGATCCTGGTCATATATGAGCTTACAGGTCATGAAAGCCATCACTGAGGTTACAAGCCAACAATTTTAAGGGGTTACACACTCATTTCTACCTCAAGCCTTGATATTGGGCATTTGCCAAAATGCGAGTGGTCTCCTAATAACAGGTCACTGATTCGCACTGCATCCCTTCCCCAAGTTCTCTTCTGGAAACTGAACAGAAGAAATATGATTTAAATAAAATGAAAAACACCCTACTTTTGCTACCAATATTTCCTAAAGTTCAAATTGAATTTGGATGCTCTATGTCTGTGATTGTAAGCTTTTCAACTCTCAGACAGTTTGAAGGCAAAGTAATCTGTAGCTTTGGTATAAGGGGAAAGAAAGGAGAGAAAAAAAATATGAAGTACTTGACTGTCAAACTTAATAAATACATTTTAAAAGCTGATTTTTAAAAAATAAATTTTTCTGAGTTGCCAACAGAGTAAACATTAGTAAACTTTGGAGGTATGTCTCAATTATTTCTCTCTGATTGCTGTGCATTAACACATTATACACAAAGCCCTGAGGAAACAAGAAGAAAATGTTATGTTAGGTATTGTTATAAACTGGATTGTCAGCATGAATGAGTGAAAATAAAATTGCTGGAAATATTTGTTTATTCAGTTAAGCCAGTTGGCAATAAAATAGAATGTATTAATGTCTCAGTAGACAATAACTTCAATGTGTGAGAATATCAAACGGCCTGGGAGTAAGGGCAAGGGAGTGAGAGCAAGAGAATGAAAACAAGAGCAAGAGTGAGAGTGAGTGAGAGATAGAGAGAGAGAGAGAGAGAGAGAGAGAGAGAGAGAGAAGCAGCACTCACTGGATCACAGGGCACCCAGAAACTTATGGCAGCACAGCATCCTAAAGTCACAGTAACTGCACTGGCATGGCCTTTGGGCGACCTTGAAAAAGAAAGCTTCTTATTACCAAGAGAACAAGTTGTGCAGATGCTGTTATAAGAACAAACCACAAAAATGCAACCAATGTAAGAACTATAAACTTGCTTTTTATATTATTCGGCAATTATTATCAATGCTTTTATCTATTGACTCCTGAATATTTGGCTCTGGATTAATTTTTGCACACTCTCTATATTACATCAAATACTACTGTGATGTTTTCATGCTAGACACATTTCAGAGGAAAGTGCAGGAAATTGGATATAGATTGCCTTAGTTCTGAGACCAGCTCTCCCAGAGATTTGCTTTGTAACCACTGGTAACAGAATATTTTTGTTTTCCTCATTAGTAAAATAAAACTAATGACACTTGTTCTCAAATGTGTGGAATAGATAATATGGAACTCCTTTGAGATCTCTGGGAAATAATTTGTAAAAATTTAAATGGGTTAGCATTTAAAATAAGCAAGTATAAAAACAAATATGAGAATTATTCTGTATTTATGATATGTCCTGATCCACCACAAATTATACATCATGATAATTATAGTGATAATAATAATTACCAATTATTGAACAGATATGCTCTGCCAGCCCTATTTTATATATTCTAAAATTTAGCCATAAATACTACCTTCATTTTAGAAATTAAGAAAGACACCAGGTACGGTGGCTGACACCTGTAATCCCAGTACTTTGAGAGGCCAAGGCAGGTGGATCACCTGAGGTCGGGAGTTCGAGACCAGCCTGACCAACATGGAGAAACCCCGTCTCTACTAAAAATACAAAATTAGCTGGGCATGGTGGCACATACCTGTAATCCCAGTCACTCGGGAGGCTGAGGCAAGATAATTGCTTGAACTCGGGAGGCGGAGACTGCAGTGAGTCGAGATCACACCATTGCACTTCAGCCTGGGCAACAAGAGCAAAACTCCCTCTGGAAAAAAAAAAAAAGAAAAAAAGAAAAAAAAAGAAATAAATAGATTAAGAAAGACTTAGGCTCAGAGATGTTAAGTAAGTGGCATACCTGGTATTTAAACTCGTGGCTATCTGACCCCAAAACACCTACTCTAATGCTATCCCTTTAGAGGTGACTGCCTCATTCTTAAAATGTGCTATTTTACATCTAAAATGATGCATTTCAATTTTATGATACCATTTTACACCCCCTAAGTGAATTAATCACTCACTTCTTTATAACTCTACCATCCATGTGTCCATTCATTCACTCAGCACATGCATTAAGCACCTTCTCCTTGTCAGACCCTGAGCCAGGCCTTGTGATACAGTGGTGAATAAGACAGTCAAGGTCTCTGCCTTCATGCAGCCTAAATTCAGGTGCAGAGGCAGATAACAAAGAACTAGAAAAAATGAAAACGGCAGATTCCAATTTGTGCTATGGAAGAAGGAAATAGAAATTTTAAGATAAGACTGGGAGGAACTAATTTAGATTAGATGACCTGGCAGAGTCTTTCTAAGTACTGTATATGACGTTGTACTGCTGAATTGGGGAGGATAAGATTTAGTAGCTATGGGAAGAGCTGGGTCAGAGAGACCAACAAGTTCAAGACCCAGAGACAAGAATGAGTTTGTCATATGCTAGGGGCAGGAAGAGGCCAGTGTTGCTATAATATGAGTAGGTAATGGCAGACTGGTATACAATGAAGTTGAAGAGGTAGACAAGAAGCAGATCGTGATTAGGAGTTTGAATCTTATCCAAAGGAATTGGAAATAATTTCCTAATGATGTGCTAGAACCAGTTACCACCTGTCCATGGGAGCCGATTCTAGGCATCTCTTCCCAGCTCCATGTTCAGTGACATCACATTGGTAGCTTAAAATCAGCTATGGTGGTCTTTATCTAGGTGGTGGTTACATAACTGTATGCATATGTAAAAATTAGTTGGACTATAAAGCAAATATCAGTACACTTTACCCTATGCTATTATACCACAAAAAAATATTTTTCAGAAAAAAGAGAGAGGAGCTTACAGTGAAAAATTACATAAAGAAGCAATTCACTATTAGTGAGTCAGTAGTGACAAAAACCAGGATTAGCAACACAAGGACTTTAATAAAGCAGCGATTTGAAAGAGAATATAAAATAATAGTGTTTTTAAAAAGGCAAGAAAGGAAAATATGACAGACTATACCTAAAGAGATGTGGTTACAAATTTCCAAATAGAATGAAATCACAAATTCTCATATTCAAATGTGCTTCATGTTTCATTCAGGATATAATTTGGAGATTGCTCTAAGAAAGACCTGATAGTGAATTGCATATGAAGAATGATGCAAAATGAGAGCTCAAGGATTACTTCTAGGTTCTAATTGACATGGGAAAAAATGGGAAAGAAATAGGTTTGGAGGAGTGAACTAAGACCTGTGTTGTAGTTGTTTAAGATGCTTATTCGAGCGCCAAGTGTAAAAGTAAAGCGGCAATTAGAAGAATCTAGAGCTCAAGGTGTGCGCAGTGAAAAGAATTTGGGAATTATCAGAATACAGATGGTATTTACAGCCATATTTGTGGATGAGATACCCTGAGGAGAAAATGCAGCTAGAGACAAAAGGACATAGGGCTGAGCCAGGTGACTTCAAAGTTTCCAGACTGGATAGAGAAGGAGACCTAGCAAAGAGGACCAAGGAGGGCCTGTATGTTGCATATTTCATTTCTCAGTGATGCTGTTAGTATGGTGTACTAAAAAGTAACCTGTACAAGAACTCAATATAACAGAAACCTAGATCCTGCTTAGTTAAATTATAAAAGTGCTCTGTGAACAATTTTTCTATCTGTAAAATGAAAGTAATGACTCTTTTTCAGTCAATTTAATAGGATACACATGAGGATCCACAGAATTTATGAAAGTAGGTATGCTTTGTAATCTAAAGATGCAGCGGAGTCATGTCCTGGCTTTTCTATCAGAATACTCTTAGAGGACCATGTTGAAAATGGCTCTATTCTAATTTTTTTTTATATTCTTTAAAGAGTAATATTAATATACTTGGTGAACCATCTTGAGGTCCTGGTACCTACTCTTTTCTGTTCTAGTTGGCTAAAGGACTTGTCTTACTTTAGGTATATCATAGAAAAAGCTGGAGGGTGAATAATCCTAATCAGAAGAAATTAATTCAAAGTCATGATGTCTAGGGTCTTTCTAATTTTGCCGTCAACAAAGCCCATCAAAGGTGAAAGACACAGGGCTTTGCCATAGCACACAGCCAGCCTACCTAGCCAAGGCAACCCTGTTCTCAAAATTCAGCTCCTAGAGTTGATAGAGAAAACTAATACTTTTGCTTATTATATACATTTTTCTCTGTTTACTATTTTAGAGTTTCTCAACAGTAAATAAAACTCCTATAATAGACTAGGGATTTCTAATCTGGGTGAATATTATTACAAAAATATTTTTTTCCTAGTGATGGGGAATGGGGGATGGAAGGATCATCTCCCTGCTTTCATCTAAGATCCTGAGGACTGAAGTTTCTAAAAAGTCTTAATATTCCCCGATTATATACTCAAAGGTGTTTTTAACTTGGCACTACATTTAATCCAGTAAATTTTGACCAATTTTTAAAAATGTAATTAGAGTCCTTAAGTGATGTGCTTTCACCAAGTGGCCAAGCATTGTATAATTCACAGAAGGACCATTCCTCTGAAATGTATGCTCTTAGTGAGATGTGACTTCACGAATGTAAAACAGTGATAATTTACCCTTTTTTGTGTTTCTCTCTCGGGCCACATGCTAATTATTATCTCTAAGTTACATTTCATAGTATTCACAAAACACAGTTATGCATTAAGTACTTCTGTCACCCAATTATGAACGTGAAGTTTGTGAGAGCCTTGGGAATTTCTCAGACTCTTACATCCAGAAAGTGGTAGATCTGAGATTCAAACCCATGCAGTTTGACCTCTCAGCCACGTACCTGACCTAAGTAGGAGCTTGTCTTTTAGGCAGCTATAGTAGAACTGTCTGAAATGCCATTATAGGACCAATAACTAGCATATGATGGTTTTTCTAAATACAGAGACTACTAAATTTATTTTAAGTAAAGAGGGCCAGGCGCAGTGGCTCATGCCTGTAATCTCAGCACTTTGGGAGCCCGAGGTGGCCAGATCACCTGAGGTCAGGAGTTCCAGACCAGCCTGACCAAGATGGCGAAACCTGGTCTCTACTAAAAATACAAAAATTAGCTGGGCACGGTGGTGCGCACCTGTAATCCCAGCTACTTGGGAGGGTGAGGCAGGAGAATCACTTCAACCCGGGAGACGGAGGTTGCGGTGAGCCGAGATGGTGCCACTGCCCTTCAGCCTGGGTGACAGAGTGAGACACCATCTCAATTAAAAAAAAAGAAAAAAAGGAAAAAGCTCTCTTCATTTTAAATTTAGTAGCAATTTCAAGGCTTAAAAATACTAGTGAAGCATAAACTCTTTGAAGAAAACAATGTCTTATCCAAAGAATGAACTGACCCACAAGAAGTACATACTAGAAAATGTTTTAAAACTAGAGGCACTTGAACGGAAATAGCACCGGACAGGGAACCATCTCATGGGAAGTTGAGTCCCAATTCTGACGGTAAATTTTTTTCTTGACTTTGAACAAGGCTTTTTACTTTTTTCAAATCTATTTCTCATCTATGAGATAGAGTCAGATATAGCAGTTCCTTTGTGCAAAGGGCATAATCATTGTGGAAAAGATGTTATAGTGGTAATATTTTGAGCTACTTGAGAACAGTACTCAATGAAGGTAAGACAGTCATAGTATATAAAATAATCAAAGCCATAATCAGAAGAGTCTGTACACTTATATACCATAGTTCTCAGTAAGATTGACTGTCCTGGTCATAGTCATATTTTTTTAAGAAAGGGCAGAACTATCCAATTCTAATAGTGCATTGAATCCCATTTCTAAAGTCACAGTATGCCCATTTTGTGGCATATATTCTGCCTACTGCTAATATTCCTTTAGACAGATGGAGTAGAACTAATGTACTGGAACATGGCTTTCATTTATTTTCTTAATAACCTTTGCCATGATCAACAGTGAATCACATCACCAAAGGACCAGATCTGGATTGTGACCTTGATTTCTTGATTTAGAGAAGTAAAAAAAAAAATACACATTTTTCATAAAATCAAGGTGTAGAAGAAATAAGTTAATATAAATATGAAATGCCAAGTCCCTTGAAATTCATTTGAACTTTTAAAATATCTCTTTATCAAATCAAAGATCAACTAAAAATCTATAGCTTAAACAATGCAGCATTTTAAAAAAATTTTTTTCTCTCTCGATCAAATACAGTTAGTTGCCTTGGAAAATAACTGAGCTATCATTTCACCAAAACATGTCAAACCAAGATCGCACTATTTTTATCAGGAAAAATGAAAGAGTCAAAAACTCATCCAAGGGAGAGTAAAAGTTGTGCTTGCATTTACTTATACCAAAAAGTAGGATGTAGAGAATACTCTTTGATAAAATTAGTATATGATAAGCTGGAAAGGCCTTCAGATAAAGGAACAAGAATTTACAACTGTAAAACATGTTGTAAGAATGAAAAAACAGAATCACCTATTGTCAGTGGCACTACTAAAACACATTTTCAACAAGCTTAAATATTTCAAACGCCTATCGAGGTCGTGTGTTTGAAGCAAATTCATCGTGTTTCATATGGCATACTTCATATACAAAAGTAATAAGGGAAATGTTCAAAATTCAAATTCAAACTATCAGACTTTAAATATAAGTGTCCAATGCCCAGTGGTCAGACCTACACCATGGAGAGAAATTTGACTGAGGATAAACATATCCATAAAATTCCACAGTATTTTATTCCTTCCAAGGCATGTTTTATCACACTGGATTGTTGAAGTTCTTGTTCATAAAAAGGAGAGAACTTTTCTGCCAAGCAAATTAATATAATTAAGGAAACCAAATGTGTCAGCCTATGTTGAAACTACAGCAGAGTTGAGTAAAAACTACAAGGAATTCCTTCCAGAAGGAAAAAATCATAATAATACAATGTGGTAGACTGAGAACAGGTTTTTAACTACACTAACTTGTAGTCAAACTACTACTCTGCTTCTTGCTTACCCTGCAACTCACCTGAATAAATTACTCACTGTCCCTGAACCTTAGGCATGAAATCAGAATAGCACTTACCTCAGAGACTGCTGTAAGAATATAATGAGGAAATGACTAACCTGGTAGTTTTCTCTCTTCACTTATCCTTTAGTTCCTTGACTCTTTCTGATATTTTTATTATATTTTATTTTATTTATTTTTAGAGACAGGGGTGTCACTAGTCTGGTCACCTACCTAGACTGGCTCTGAACTCCTGGGCTTAAGCGATCCTCCTGCCTCAGCCTCCCAAGTAGCTGGGACTATAGATGCCAGCCACACCTGGCTTTTTCTGAGGTTTTTAAATCTAATTTTTTAAACTATATTTCATAAATAAGAGAAAGATACAAACACACCTCTCATGACAAAGTAGTTTAATAATCTGGTAGATCTAAGGGAGAGACTATAAAAGTAGACATTGTTAGAGCAGAATTTCAGAGAACTTCCACTAATATTAACCCAATGCTTGGCTATTACAGAAGAGATAACTGTTTACAAAGGCTGCCCATGACCCTTTGATCAGCAACATTTATGAAAAAGTCATCCTTATAGATGTGAAAAATCTATTTCCTTATAACTTGCATTCACACATCACTGTTCTTCCTTCTGAAGGCATTCATAGATTTGAAGACTATTAGATGCCTGCATTAAGACTATTCACTAGCCTAATATTCCTAACCACTACAAACCTTCTGTCAAGTGACATAATTTCTCAAATTTTCATCATTTTGAGCCCTCTTTAAAAGATATATTCCAATATGTTGAATAATCCTTAAATAAAGCTGAACATCATATTCCAGCAATGTTTTTACCAGCACAGAATAGTAATAATGCTAATATTATGAACATTTATTGCATACTTATTATATGCCCTAAATATTTGAGATGCATATATTTTTTAGTGTAGTAATTTTTTCAAATTTTGTATTTAGTCATCCAGTAAAATGTTAGCTGGCACCTACAGTGAGGCACTATAGAATAACGGTTAAGGATTCAGTCTTCAGAGCCACACTTACTGGATTTGAATGCAGACTACTATTTACTAGTCTGTGACCTGGGGGAAAATAACTTAGACTTTCTATGCCTCAGTTTCTTCTATTGCAAATGAGATTTTAAGATTTGTTTTAATATCAAGCTATCTATGTGAAACATTTAGAAGAGCGCCTAGTGCATAGCAATTGTCAGGAATGTTAATAGTTACCATTATTAGTACTGTAGAGACCAGGTAACCATGTGGAGGAAATGGACAACTGAACAAGAAATAATATAACTCAACATTGAAATAAGTACTGTTTAAAAATAAAGCATAGAAGGAGACAGGAAGTGCTAAGCTGGAAGGTTTTGGGGATGGAGGTTAGATATGTAGGTGTAAGAAGGCTGCCATAGGGAGGCAGCATTTGAAAAAACCTGAATGAAATAAAGGAGTGAGCCAAATAACTGCCTAGTGGGACAGTCTGCCCAGAAGAGGGAAAGGCTAGCAGAAAAGGCCCTGAAGTGAGATGAGCTTGGCAGAGATAGTGATATTTAGGGAAAGCAAGCCATCCAGTGTGGCTAGAGAAGAATAAGCAAGTTAGGAGGTGAATCAGAAAGTTAGCAGGGGCCATATGATGTAGTGTTTCATAGGTAATGGAAAGAAAGCACATAGAGATAAAACCTCTTATCTAAGTTGACAGACTGATACCTATTTTCTTTGACTCTAAAGCCTGTAACTCTTAATCACATTGCTGCCCTTGACATGAACAATATATTAGATTGGTGCAAAAGTTATTGTGGTTTTTGCCACTGAAAATAATGGCCAAAACTGCAATTGCTTTTGCACCAACCTAAACTTTACTCATATTAAAATTCCATCAGATTTTTTGGAAGTCAAGACACACTGATGGCTTACATTGTGCCCTTGTCAGCTGAAATATTTAAATGTGTTTTTTAATTTTTTTATTATGCTTTAAGTTTTAGGGTACATATGCACAACGTGCAGGTTTGTTACATATGTATGCATGTGCCATGTTGGTGTGCTGCACCCATTAACTCTTCATTTAACATTAGGTATATCTCCTAATGCTATCCCTCCCCCCTCCCCCACCCCACAACAGGCCCCAGTGTGTGATGTTCCCCTTCCTGTGTCCATGTGTTCTCTTTATTCAATTCCCACCTATGAGTGAGAACATGCGGTGTTTGGTTTTTTGTCCTTGTGATAGTTTGCTGAGAATGATGGTTTCCAGCTTCATCCATGTCCCTACAAAGGACATGAACTCATCATTTTTTATGGCTGCATAGTATTCCATGGTGTATATGTGCCACATTTTCTTAATCCAGTCTATCATTGTTGGACATTCGGGTTGGTCACAAGTCTTTGCTATTGTGAATCGTGCTGCAATAAACATACATGTGCCTGTGTCTTTATAGCAGCATGTTTTATAATCCTTTGGGTATATACCCAGTAATGGGATGGCTGGGTCAAATGGTATTTCTAGTTCTAGATCCCTGAAGAATCGCCACACTGACTTCCACAATGGTTGAACTAGTTGACAGTCCCACCAACAGTGTAAAAGTGTTCCTATTTCTCCACATCCTCTCCAGCACCTGTTGTTTCCTGACTTTTTAGTGGTCGCCATTCTAACTGGTGTGAGATGATATCTCATTGTGGTTTTTATTTGCATTTCTCTGATGGCCAGTGATGATGAGCATTTAATTATACTTTAAGTTCTAGGGTACATGTGCACAACGTGCAGGTTTGTTACATAGGTATACATGTGCCATGTTGGTTTGCGGCACCCATCAACTCTTCATTTACTTTAGGTATTTCTCCTAATGCTACCCCTCCCCCAGCCCCCCACCCCCCAATAGGCCCCAGTGTGTGATGTTCCCCTCCCTGTGTCCATGTGTTCTCATTGTTCAACTCCCATTTATGAGTGAGAACATATGGTGTTTGGTTTTCTGTCCTTGTAATATTTTGCTGAGAGTGATGGTTTCCAGCTTCATATATGTCCCTGCAAAGGACATGAACTCATCCTTTTTATGGCTGCATAGTATTCCATGGTGTACATGTGCCACGTTTTCTTTATCCAGTCTATTATTGATGGACATTTGGGTTGGTTCCAAGTCTTTGCTATTGTGAATAGTGCCGCAATAAACATGCGTGTGCATGTGTCTTTACGGTAGAATGATTTATAATCCTTAGGGTATATACCCAGTAATGGGATTCCTGAGTCAAGTGGTACTTCTAGTTCTAGATCCTTGAGGAATCACCACACTGTGGACAGTGGTTGAACGAATTTGCACTCCCACCAACAGTGTAAAAGCACTCCTAATTCTCCACATCCTCTCCAGCATCTGTGGTTTCCTGACCTTTTAAGGATTGCCATTCTAACTGGTGAGAGGTGGTATCTCATTGTGGTTTTGATTTGGATTAACTGTGTTTTTTTATGGGAACTCTTGCTAACTTGGTTCTAATTCCTCTTGTATATCTGTAACTGATTTTGGAAGAGGTTTATACGTATTATAGTTCATCTTGCTCAATTATTCCTCTCAGCTGTGTGTATTCTGATAAACTTGCCTGCTACATTTTCATTTCAAATCCTAATAAAAAGAGTGGACTAGAATAGAGGATAAAATAGTTTGTTCTGACTGCTACAAATACCTGCAGGCTTGCATGAGTTCATTAAATTATCTCTAAGATACACTTGTACAACAAGTTATGAACCTACTTTTAACTTTTAAAAGTTAATCCACAAGTTTATTAAGGAAGATTTGTCTAAGGTTCTATATAATTCACATTAATTTCTAACCTAGTACATTTATGAGAAAAAGAAAATCGGAAATTAGTTTAGCATATATTTATCAAACACAGGAAGACTACTAATTTTTACTATCTATGTTTCTAAGATGTTAATCTTCTTAATCATGTGTCCTAATTTTTTGCCATGGATATTATACTTACTCAACTGTAGATTATAGTTATTATCTGTTTGAAAAATGAATCAACATTTATCTATCTTATGACTTATGGAGCCCATACTAATTAATACAAATTCCTGAAATATTACTGACAGTGATTCTGTGACTTTATCTCTAAACAAAATGTGTTTGGACCTAAGATATCAACTCTGTTACAGTAGTGAGATTCAGTCTCACTATCTCTCTAGTACCTTGAAACCATTTTGGTCTACTATTAGTATGTTGAAGAAAATTACCACTATGAATGGATAATATATACAAAAAATAAAAAGGAATTGGAACTTTACCCAATTACTTTTTCTTTTCATCATGACATCATCTGCCATAAACTGAGCCTCATCCCTCTTTGTTCTCTTGACTGCAAACCTGGTTATAAAAGCCTTTTTTTCTTTAGCTTTTATCCCAATTCTCATTACACTTTGGATTTAACCCTCTTGATACTATTCGTAGAAGCTTGAATCTTCTTTTCCCTCTGTCCTTAATTAAATTGTCCATTTATCTCTTTTTTCTGCACATAAATTTTTTTATTTTTTTAAATTTTTGGTTACAGATATATAATAAATGTACATGTTTATGGGGTACTTGTGATATTCTGACACAAGATATAATGTGTAATGATGAAATCAGGGCAATTGGTGAAGCCATCACCTCAAGCATTTATCATTTCTTTGGTACAAACAGACACACATACATATTTTCCAAATTAGAGATAGGAGTCTCACTCTGACACCCAGGCTGGAGTGCAGTGATGCAATCCTAGCTTACTCTAACCTCAATCTCCTGAGCCCAAGCAATCCTCCTGCCTCAGCCTCAGTTATGACTGCAGGTATATGACCCCATGGCTGGTGAGTTAGGCCATTCTTACATTACCAGAAAGAAATACCTGAGACGGGAGGTGGCTGGCAAGATGGCTGAATAGGAACAGCTCTGGTCTTCAGCTCCCAGCAAAATCAATGCAGAAGGCGGGTGACTTCTGCATTTCCAACTGAGGTACTCGGCTCATATCATTGGGACTGGTTAGACAGTGGGTCTAGCGTACAGAGTGCAAGCTGAAGCAGGGTTGGGCATCACCTCACCCAGGAAACACAAGAGATCGGAGAACTCCCTCACCTAGCCAAGGGAAGCTTTGAGGGACTGTGCCATAAAGAACGGTGCACTGTGGCCCAGATACTATGCTTTTCCCACGGTCTTCGCAACCTGCAGACCAGGAGATTCCCTCGGGTGCCTACACCACCAGGGCCCTGGGTTTCAAGCACAAAACTGGGTGGCCACTTGGGCAGATACCAAGCTAGCTTCAGGACTTTTTTTTCATACCCCAGTGGCAACTGGAATGCCAGCGAGACAGAACCTTTCCATCCCCTGGAAAGGGGGCTGAAGCCAGGGAGCCAAGTGGTCTAGCTCAGTGGATCCCACTCCCATGGAGCCCAGCAAGCTGAGATCCACTGGCTTGAAATTCTTGCTGCCAGCACAGAAGTCTCAAGTCGACCTGGGATGCTCGAGCTTGGTGCGGGGAAGGGAGTCTGCCATTACTGAGGCTTGAGTAGGGGGTTTTCCCCTCACAGTGTAAACAAAGCTTCCTGGAAGTTCGAACTGGGCGGAGCCCACCACAGCTCCTCAAAGGTGCTATAGCCAGACTGCCTCTCCAGATTCCTCCTCTTGGGCAGGGCATCTGAAAGAAAGGCAGCAACCCCAGTCAGGGGCTTATAGATAAAACTCCCATCTCCCTGGGACAGAGCACCTGGGGGAAGGGGCGGCTGTGAAGTCAGCTTCAGCAGACGTAAATGTTCCTGCCTGCTGGCTCTGAAGACAGCAACAGATCTCCCAGCACAGCGCTCGAGCTCTGCTAAGGGACAGACTTCCTCCTCAAGTGGGTCCCTGACCCTTGTGCCTCCTGCCTGGGAGACACCTCCCAGCAGGGATTGACAGACACCTCGTATAGGAGCACTCCACCTGGCATCTGGCAGGTGTCCCTCTGGGACAAAGCTTCCAGAGGAAGGAACAGGCAGCAGTCTTTGCTGTTCTGCAGCCTCCACTGGTGATACCCAGGCAAACGGAGTCTGGAGTGGACCTCCAGCAAACTCCAGCAGACCTGCAGCAGAAGGGCCTGACTGTTAGAAGGAAAACTAACAAACAGAAAAGAATAGCATCAACATCAACAAAAAGGATGTCCACACAAAATCCCCATCTGAAGGTCACCAGCATCAAAGACCAAAGGTAGTTAAGTCCACTAAGATGAGGAAAAACCAGCATGAAAAGGCTGAAAATTTCAAAAACCAGAATGCCTCTTCTCCTCCAAAGGATCACAACTCCTCGCCAGCAAGGGAACAAAACTAGATGGAGAATGAGTCTGACAAATTGATAGAAGTAGGCTTCAGAAAGTGGGTAATAAATTCACCTGAGCTGAAGGAACATGTTCTAACCCAATGCAAGGAAACTAAGAACGTTGAGTAAACGTTAGAGGAATTGCTAACCAGAATAACCAGTTTAGAGAAGAACATAAATTACCTGATGGAGCTGCAAAACACATCATGAAAACTTTGTGCAGCATACACAAGTATCAATAGCTGAATCAATCAAACAGAAGAAAAGATATCAGAGATTGAAGATCAACTTAATGAAATAAGTGTGAAGACAAGATTAGAGAAAAAAGGAATAAAAAGGAAGCCTCCAAGAAATATGGGACTATGTGAAAAGACCAAACCTACGTTTGACTGGTGTACCTCAATGTGACAGGGAGAATGGAACCAAGTTGAAAAACACTCTTTAGGATATTATCCAGAACTTCCCCAACCTAGCAAGAGAGGCCAACATTCAAATTCAGGAAATATAGAGAACACCACAATGATACGCCTCGAGAAAAACAACCCCAAGACACATACTCATGAGATCCACCAAGGTAGAAGGACAAACTGTTAAGGGCAGCCAGAGAGAAAGGTTGGGTTACCCACAAAGGGAAGCCCATCAGACTAACAGCAGATCTCTCTGCAGAAATCCTACCAGCCAGAAGAGAGTGGGGGCCAATATTTAACATTGTTAAAGAAAAGAATTTCAACCCAGAACTTCATATCCAGCCAAACTAAGCTTCATCAGCGAAGAAGAAATAAAATTTTTTACAGACAAGCAAATGCTGAGGGATTTTGTCACAGCCAGGCCTGCCTTACAAGAGCTCCTGAAGGAAGCACTACATATGGAGAGGAAAAAACGGTACCAGCCACTGCAAAAACATACCAAATTGTAAAGACCATCGACACTATGAAGAAACTGCATCAACTAACAGGCAAAGTAACCAGCTAGCATCATAATGACAGGGTCAAATTCACACATAACAATATTAACCTTAAATGTAAATGGGCTAAATGCCCCAATTAAAAGACACAGCCTGGCAAATTGGATAGAGTCAAGACCCATCAGTGTGCTGTATTCAGGAGACCCGTCTCCCATGCAGACACACATAGGCTCAAAATAAAGGGATGGAGGAATATTTACCAAGCAAATGGAAAGAAAAAGAAAGCAGGGGTTGCAGCCCTGGTCTCTGATATTAAGAGACTTTAAACCAACAAAGATCAAAAAAGACAAAGAAAGGCATTACATAATGGTAAAGGAATCAATGCAACAAGAAGAGCTAACTATCCTACATATATATGCACCCAATACAGGAGCACCTAGATTCATAAAGCAAGTTCTTAGAGACTACAAAGAGACTTAGACTCCCACACAATAATATTGGGAGACTTTAACACCCCACTGTCAGTATTAGACACATCAACAGGACAGAAAGTTAACAAGGATATTTAGGACTTGAAGTCAGTTCTGGACCAAGCAGACCTAATAGTCATCTACAGAACTTTCCACCCCAAATCAACAGAACATACATTCTTCCCAGCACCACATCACACTTATTCTAAAATTGACCACATAATTGGAAGTAAAACACTCCTCAGCAAATGCAAAAGAATGGAAATCATAACAAACAGTCTCTCAGACAACAGTGCAATCAAATTAGAACTCAGGATTAAGAAACTCACTCAAAACTACACAACTACATGGAAATTGAACAACCTGCTCCTGAATAACTACTGGGTAAATAATGAAATTAAGGCAGAGATAAATAAGTTCTTTGACATCAATAAGAAAAATTCATAATGTACCAGAATACGTAGGACACAGCTAAAGCAGTGTTTAGAGGGAAATTTATAGCACTAAATGCCCACAGGAGAAAGCAGCAAAGATCTAAAATCGACGCCCTAACAATGAAATTAAAAGAACTAGAGAGGCAAGAGCAAACAAATTCAAAAGCTAGCAGAGGGCAAGAAATAACTAAGATCAGAGCACAACTGAAGGAGAAAGAGACACGAAAAACCCTTCAAAAATCAATGAATCCAGGAGATGGTTTTTTGAAAAGATGAACAAAATAGATAGACTACTAGCCAGACTAATAAAGAAAAAAAGAGAGAAGAATCAAATAGACACAATAAAAAATGATAAAGGGGATATCACCACTGATCCCACAGAAATACAAACTACCATCAGAGAATACTATGCACACCTCTATGCAAATAAACTAGAAAATCTAGAATAAATGGATAAATTCCTGGACATACACCCTCCCAAGACTAAATCAGGAAGAAGTCAAATCCCTGAATAGGCCAATAGTAAGTTCTGAAATTGAGGCAGTTATTAATGGCCTACCAACCGAAAAATGCCCAGAACCAGAAAGACTCATAGCCGAATTCTACCAGAGGTACAAAGAGGAGCTGGTACCATTCTTTCTGAAACTATTCCAAACAATAGAAAACGAGGGAATCCTCCCTGACTCATTTTATGAGGCCAGCATCATCCTGAAACCAAAACCTGGCAGAAACACAACAAAAAAAAGAAAATTTCAGACCAATATCCTAATGAACATCAATGTGAAAATCCTCAATAAAATACTGGTAAAATGAATCCAGCAGCACATCAAAAAGCTTATTCACCATGATCAAGTCAGCTTCATCCCTGGATTGCAAAGCTGGTTCAGCATATGCAAATCAATAGACGTAATCCATCACATAAACAGAACCAATGACAAAAACTACATGATAATCTCAATAGATGCAGAAAAGGCCTTTGACAAAATTCAACACCCCTTCATGCTAAAAACTCTCAATAAACTAGGTATTGATGGAATGCATCTCAAAATAGTAAGAACTATTTATGACCAACCCATAAAACCATATGACCAACCCATAAAACCTAGGCAATAGCATTCAGGACATAGGCATGTGCAAAGACTTCATGACTAAAACACCAAAAGCAATGGCAACAGAAGCCAAAATTGACAAATATGATCTAATTAAACTAAAGAGCTTCTGTACAGCAAAATAAACTATCATCAGAGTGAACAGGCAACCTACAGAATGGGAGAAAATTTTTGCAATCTATCCATCTGACAAAAGGCTAATATACAGAATCTACAAGGAGTTTAAACAAATTTACAGGAAAAAACCCCATCAAAAAGTAGGTAAAGGATATGAACAGACACTTCTCAAAAGAAGACATTTATGTGGACAACAAAAATATGAAAAAAAGCTCATCATCGTTGGTCATTGGAGAAATGCAAATCAAAACCACAATGAGATACCATCTCATGCTAGTTAGAATGGCAATCATTAAAAAGTCAGGAAACAACAGATGCGGGAGAGGATGTGGAAAAATAGGAACACTTTTACACTGTTGGTGGGAGTGTAAATTCGTTCAACCATTGTGGAAGACAGTGTAGTGATTCCTCAAGGATCTAGAGCCAGAAATACCATTTGACCCAGCCATCCCATTACTGGGTATATACCCAAAGTATTATGAATCATTCTACTATAAAGACACATGCACAAGTATGTTTATTGCAGCACTATTCACAGTAGCAATGACTTGGAACCAACCCAAATGCGCATCAATTATAGACTAGATAAAGAAAATGTGGCACATATGCACCATGGAATACAATGCAGCCATAAAAAAGGATGAGTTCATATCTTTGCAGGGACATAGATGAAGCTGGAAACCATCATTCTCAGCAAACTAACACAGGAACAGAAAACCAAACACCACATGTTCTCACTCATAAGTGGGAGCTGAGCAATGAAAACACATGGACACAGGGAGGGGAACATCACACACTGGGGCCTGTCAGAAGGTGGGGGGCTAGGGGATGGATAGCATTAGGAGAACTATCTAATGCAGATGATGGGTTGATGGGTGCAGCAAACCGCCATGGCAAGTGTGTACCTACGTAACAAACCTGCATGTTCTACGCATGTATTCCAGAACTTAAAGTAAAAAAAAAAAAAAAAAAAAAAAAAAAAAAACAGAAAGAAATACCTAAGACTGAGTGATTTATAAAGGAAAGAGGTTTAATTGGCTCATGGTTCTGCAGGCTATACAAACATGGCACTCACAACTGCTTATCTTCTGGGGAGCTTCAGGGAGCTTTTACTCGTGGTAGAAGGAGAAGAGAAAGCAGGCACATCACATGGTGGAAGCTGGAGCAAGTGTGGCGGGGAGCTGCCACACACTTTTAAACAACCAGATCTCATGTGAACTCACTCATCACCAAGAGGATGGTGCTAGCTAAGCCATTCATGAGGGAAAAGCCCATGATCCAAACACCTCCGACCAGGCCCCACCTTAAACACTGGGGATAATATTTTATTGTGATTTGGTGGGACACAGATCCAAACCCTAGCACCTGGCTAATGTTTTTATTTTTATTTATGTAGAGACAGGATTTTGCTGGGTTTCCCAGGCTGGTCTCAGATTCCTGGCCTCAAGCAGTCCTCCCAACTTGGCCTCCCAAAGTACTGAGATTACAGGCATGAGCCATAGGGATGCCTAGCCTACCTATATATTTTATACAGACATCATGGATCATTCTATGCAATAAAATTGTTTTCTTTAGATATTTTACCCACGGTTTCTATTTTTAATTTCAATGCTTTTGTGTTTGTATTTTAGCAATAAATATTTTTATTTAATATTTATTTGATAAATATTTATATTTAATATTTATTTGATAAATATTTATTTCTCTTGAGTGAGCTTCCTTCATATGGTTATGACCTTACATTTATACTTAGGTTTTCTCTGAGCATTTAAATATATCCTTTTTGGTGTTTATTTTTTAAATGATATGATGTTTGAGATTTACTTCAAAATAACCTGCAACAGGCAGTAGGGGGAGTCAGATAATGGAATGGACAAAATAATATTGGTTATCGGTTGCTGATTGTTGGAGATGAGTATAATGAGTGCATGCTAGCTCATTATATTGCTTTCTCCATTTATACGTAAGTTTGAAATTTTCCTCAATGAAAAATTAAAAATAAAAGAGATTGTATGTTAGTACCAGCTTTTTAGAGAGTACTAACAGAGCCCTAATAATGCACACCACCAATTTTTCTTAAATTGTGTTTATCATAATTTTAAAAGCTTTTAATTCTCAGGGTAGTTTTAGGTTTACGGCAAAATTGAAAGGAAGGTATAGAGATTTTCCGTATACCATTTGCCCCTAAACATGTATAGCCTCCCTTATTATTAACATCCCCCATCAAAATGGTATATTTGTCGTAATTAATGCATCTACAATGGCACATCATTATCGTCCAAAGTCCACAGTTCATGTTAGGGTTCACTCTTGGTGTTGTACATTCTGACTTTGGACAAATATATGACATGTATCCACTGTTATACTACCATACAGAATTGTTTCACTGCTCTAAAAATCCTCTGCACTTCACCTACTTACTCCCTATCCCCTAAACCCTGGCAACCACTGATCTTATTACTGCTTCCATACTTTTGTCTTTCCCAGAATATCATGCAATTAGAGTCACAGAATTTAGCCTCTTGGGATTGGCTTCTTTCACTTAGTAATATGCATCTAAGTTTCCTCCATGTCTTTTCATAACTTGATAGCTCATTTTTTAAGCTCTGAATAATGTTCCATTATCTGGATGTACAACAGTTTATTTATCTATTAGCCTACTGAAGTACATCTTGGTTGCTTCCAAGTTTTGGAAATTATGAATAAAGCTGGTATAAACATTCATGTGCAAGCTTTTGTACAGACACGAGTTTTCAACTCCTCTGGGTAAACACCAAGGAGTGCAATTGCTGAATCATATGGTAACAATATGTTTAGTAAGACACCACCAAACTGTCTTCCAACATAATTGTACTATTTTGCATTTCCACCAGCCATGAATGAGTGTCTAGTGCTTTAAATTCTCATCAGCATTTGGTTTTGTCAGAGTTTTTTTTTTTATTTTGGCCATTCTAATAGTGTGTAGTGATAGCTCATTATTGTTTTAATTTGCATTTCCCTGATGATATACGATGTGGAGCATCATATAATAATAATAAGATGTCATATGCCTACTTACCATCTATATATCTTTTTTGGTGAGGTATCTGGTAAGGTCTTTGGCCCATTTTTTTAATCAGGTCATTAATTTTCTTAGCATTGAATTTTAAGTTCTTTCTATATTTTGGATAACAGTCTTTATCAGATGTGTCTTTTGCAAATATTTTTCCAAGGCTGTGGCTTACATTTTTATCCCCTTGAAAGTGTCTTTTATAGAGCAGAAGCTTTTAATTTTAATGAAGTCCAGTTTATCAATTTTTTGGATTATGCCTTTGGTAGCATATCTAAAAAGTCATGGCAAAAGCCAAGGTCATCTAGATTTTCTCCTATGTCATCTTCTAGGACTTTTATAGTGTGTGTTTTGCATTTAGGTCTGTGATCCATTATGAGTTAAATTTTGTGAAGGGAGCAAGGTTACTACCTAGATTTCTTTTTTTCTCTGTGCATGTCCAGCTGTTCTAGCACCATTTGTTGAAAAGACTATCTTTTCTCTATTGTATTGCCTTTGCTCCTTTGTCAAAGATCAAATTACTATATTTATGTGAGTCTATATCTGGGCTCTCTATTCTGTTCTATTGATCTCTCTGTGCGTTCTTTTGCCAGTACCACACTTCCTAGATTGCTGTAGCTTTATGGTAAGTCTTAAAGTCAAATTGTATCCTATGGTAGCTTTATTGTAAGCCTTCAAGTCAGGTAATGTCAGTTTTCCAACTTTATTCTTCTTCAGTATTGTGCAGGATAGTTTTATAGCAGTGAAAAATGCAAATAATGTAAATGTCCAACCATTTGTTCATGACTAGTGAAATAAAATTTGGTGGTTATGATGAAATACACTGAATTATTAAAAGCAAACTGTCAGTCTTAGGTAAGTAAATGCAAGTTTCTAAATCTATATTTTAAAAAGCACCATTTATATCCCTATCTGTCTAAACATCTGTTGAGTTTTTTAAAACGTCATTGTTTCCATTTATAATATCCTTTATATTTTCTTAGCTCTCTAAATGGTGTATATCTTGTTGACCTGAACCACTGGTCCCCTCACTTAAACATGTTTCTTTCTGTTGAACGTATTGTAGCAATTCATTTTCTCATTTTGGTCATGAGTTGTGACTATTGTCTTTTATGAAAGTAAACATTCAGTCCTAAGGACAAACTAAATAAGCTTATCTTTTCTGAATGTATCGTATAGATTTGTACCAAAAATAAAATTGGCCCAAAAGCCCCACTGTTGAAGATATGTATCATGTAACTTTATTTCTTAAAGATTGTATTAGAGTTCCAAGAAAAAGCCTACAATTTATTATAAATTAAATGAAGCATAACAATAGTGTGTTTTTTAAAAAAATCTCATTCCCACAAAGCAAAGTCAGATCTAAAAGGAAAAGTGGCCATGAAGTTCTCTGTAGGCTTGTTTTATTTTATCTTTTCAGTGCCTTGGTACATAGATTAGCTTAAACATTTGAAGAAATATGTGCCATGAAGAAAAGTTTTTGTTGGATTCTATGAATACATTTTTATTTATCAGATTTAGTTTGCTCACATTTACTATTTATTGTAGTGTTTCTTATGCTATCAACAAACATAGCTAAATGTTACTACATTTTAATAGAGTAACACTGATTTCAAATCTGTAAATTAAATAATGAAAAAAATAAATGAGAAGAAAAAGATGTTAATATTAATTGAGGAAAATTTTCTGAGGTCTGCTATTGACCAAGAAAATAAATTATATGTAAAATTTTACAGTGGAAAATAAATATATAGAAACTTGGCCTCCTCAGTACTATCCTTTCAGAAATTAATAAAAAAGGTAGAAGATATTATTAAGTCAGATAAATGCCAGAGAAAGGGCTTTTTAAAAATCTATAAGTTTGAAACTGTTTCATAGAAATATGTCAAAGTCTGAACTTCCCTGACTTGATTTTGCGTGATTGGCATTCTTCAAGGGACAAAGGGAGTTTTCTGGTGCAATCTGCCTAATGGATGTCCTTTTATTTATTTATTTATTTATTTTGTTTCATTTTCCTTTCCTATTTCTCAGATGTTCTTAGCTTGAAAGGTTTATTCCATAGGTTCAGTGGTCTTCTTTAGACCAGAAAGAACTTAGGTAAGACATGAAGTTAAGGTCGCACTGAGTGCACTTTCCAGTAGTCAACTTAGATATTTGTCAAAAGTAGTATGACATTTGGCAAGGTAATTGACAGTAGCACTGACTTTATTCTCTTAACATGTTGACAGCACACAAAAGCTCAAAATCTGCTTTTTAATAAGTGGATGGTACCCCTAGGCTAAAGAATAATGAGTGTACATTTTGGGGCATCTTCTCTTTATTTAACCTGCCATGCTGTACTTTATGTATTAGAAGTAGACACCACAGTTGTCTGGTTTGAAAATACTGGTCTTATAAGTCAGTATCCCTCTGCATAACAGAGATGAGCTAGCTTTTGCCAAAAATAAAAGCAGGGAGAGAAAGATAAAGAAGGGTTTGTGAAATTCATACAGTAGAATTTCAGGAAAATACAGCACCATATTACAAATATACGTCACTGTTTACTCAATTTATATCTGAAATAATTTGTAACTACTCACCTGATAATAGATTTTAGCATCCCACAAAAATACTTGTCAAATAAATATTCTACATTTTCAATTAGAATGAGAAAACACTTATTAAATGCATTTTACAAAAAGAAATATTATATGGCTTTTGAAATAAAGAGGAAATCTTAATATAAAACATATCTAGTTGCAATTGAACTGTCAAATTAGCTTAATTATAGAACTTTATATAAATATTTCCTTACTAAAAGATTTTATTTCATAAATGATCTCTTAAAAGTATAACAATAGCAATAAAGATTATAAATACCTTTAAGAAGTGAGTCATTCATTTTAAAAATCTACCACAGGTAATAAAATATTATGAAACTTAATACACCACACACATGAGATTACCAGTAAAACTGAGAAAATCTGAATAACATTGGTGGATTTCATTCATATCAATATCTTGATTGTGAATATTGCCCTATGGTTTTGCAAAATGTCACCATTGGAGAAACTAGGCAAAGTGTACAAGGTGCCTTTCTTACCACTGCAAATGAATCTACAATTATCTATAAAAGTTTCAATAAAAAAAGGAAAAACCCTACATTTTTATGGACAGAAGTTTAAATTTTCAGGCAGGAGAATATAATCAATCTTATTTCTGTTGCACGAAAAAACCTATTGTATTAAAAAATAAAAGAAAATACATTCTAAATGCAAACATAATTTAAGAACGAATCAATCTCTAATAAAGTCAATAGAGAAATGCAATGAGTAAGCAAATTATTCCATAAAAAGTATGGTTCACATGCAGAAAAGAAGAAAAATCTTTTTAAGCAAATAGTTATTCCTTCTTTAAATCCTAGCATACGTCTAACCTCTTTCTTCATTCTCATTCTCCAGGTTTAAATCTAAGCTTTCTTCGCATTTAGAGTCTAAAAATTCTTAGGAATCAGTTTATCTCTGAAGAGTTATATATAGCATCAAGGAAAAGATACAGTTTCACACAATCACGCACATGCACATTATCTTGCCCTTTTTAGAACTGATAGTATAATTTAGAGGCACTATATTAGAGTATGAAAACTTTGGTGGCTTAACCCAACAAAGGTTTATTTGACACTCATCTGAAAGTTCAATGCAGTGGTGGGGGATTTGCTCCACACAGTCATTCAGGGAACAAGGATTTTTTCTGCGGGTGATTTATCATTTTTCTAAGACGTCAATGTCCTCTACCATATTTCTACACCTGACTGGCACAAGCGAAGAACCCAAACACCCATTATTTAGAGAATGGAAAAGCAAATTGTGACACTATCAGGATACAGGATACTACTCAACAATGAAAAGAAACAAATGATTGATGCACGCAATGTGCAGTATTGTGGATTAAACTAAGTGCAAGAAGCCCAGACTCAAAAGGTTACAAACTCTATAATTTTATTTATATAGGGCATTCTAGAGAAAATAAAACCAAAGGGACAAATGAGTAGTTGCCAAGACTAGGAGCTGGGGAAGGGATTGACTGCAAGGAGATGAGGGGATTTTTGAAGGTTTTAGAGATGTGTATATTTTGATTATGGTCATGATTATATGATTATATACACTTTTCAAAACTCATCAAGTTGAGGCTGGGAGCAGTGGCTCATGCCTGCCTGTAATCCCAACACTTTGCAAGGCTGAGGCGGGTGGATTGCTTGAGGCCAGGAGTTTGAGACCAGCCTGGGCAAAATGGCAAAACCCTGTCTCTACTAAAAATTCAAAAATTAGCCGGGCATAGTGGTGCGCAGCTATAATCCTAGCTACTTGGGAGGCTGAGGTATGAGAATCGCCTGAACCCAGGAGATGGGGGTTGCAGTGAGCCAAGCTTGCCCCTCTGCCCTCCAGCCTGAGTGACAGTGCCAGACTGTCTCAAAAACAAACAAACAAATGTCAAAAAAAAAACTCATCAAGTTGTGTGATTACAAAGAATGAATTTTTTTATATATGCATTATATATTAACACACCTGACTCTTTAAAAGTTTAATACATGCTTTATACTTTTTATCTCAACTTTCAAGGTTAGACCAGGAGAAACATATTTTTTAAATGTCTGCAAAAGTATCCTCCCTTCTGTGCCACTGTAAGGGGTGGTCAGCAGAGCAGCAGCAGCAGCAGCTCTGGGAGCTATTTAGAAACACTCTTTTGCCCCCTTCTCCACCTTCCCTTTGCAGACCTTTTGAATCAGGATGTCTAGTTGTGGAGCCTAGGAATCTGTGTGCTAACAAGCTCCTTGGGTCATGCCAAAGTTTTAAAAGCAATGATGGTTTATAAGAAAATACAAATCATGATTATTTTTCCAGCAATAAACATATACTTCACTTATAGTAAATTTAAATCTGATATGGTTATTTCCCCCCACATTCCTATTTACAATACCATTTTCATTTTCACATTGTAACATTCTACTGTCATGTTAACTACCTTTTAAACAATTTAAGTTGTAATTTGAGCTTGTGCTATATTACCAATGCATTAGTAACACTCGTACAAATCAAAGCAAGGAAGTTTCCAACTTCTCTGCCAAAGGATTGAGAAAGGCGTCTTCTGATCTTAGATTAATTTTACAAATACTAAAATTTTAAAAATAAAATGTTAACTGGTCTTAGATTTGTGAACATGAAGGCATATCTCTTAAAATTTCCTTATCTAGGTTAAGATGAAATAATTACCAACTCTGAAGAAAAGGCTAAAATAAGACAGATAATGTAAGATATATGTGTGTTGTGTTGGGAAATAAAAGGCACAAATTTAACAGACATATTTTCACTTGCGTTGTGCCAGACTTGCTCAGAACATTAATGTAAGCTTTGCCCATGGCTTGCTGAGTGGTCCATTCTCCTCTTGAGACTTAGAGAATGGAACAGTAACCTTGTGACCAGGGTCACTGCCATGCTCCCAGCCTTGTTGATGGATTTTAGAGGCAGCCTAAACTAATTCCATGAACAGTGAAAATGCATTTGGATTTAAATGTTTTATAGGCTGTCTGTCACTTACCTTCTGGAAGTTAGCTTTTACTCTGCTTCATTAAACCAACTTACAGTATTCACAACAGACTGGCATTCACAGAAACGAAGTCATACACTTATGAAATCCTTTATTTATTCAAGTAGCTTGGAGAATTACAAAGAGTATGAGCCTAAAAGTCAGTCAGACACAAATAGATACAATCTCAGCTCTGCCCTATCTGTGTGTATTGGGACAACATACCTAACCTCCTCCAGGTTCTGTTTCCTCACCTATAAGGTAGGAATTAGAATAGCCTTGCAAGCATGGTCATTGTGAAAATTGACTGAGATAATAGGATAATTATTATTTTTTATTGTTTAATGAACATATCTTAAGAGTCTTATCTGCTTCAGGCACTGTATTCCCTAGGAAAAGGAAGGCACACAATTAAAATAAGACATGATTTTCCCCCTGAGGAGTTCCATGGTTCTCAAAGTGGTTGGTAATCCCCTTCTAGGGATTCCTAAAACTGTGTGGAGATATTATTGGATGTTACAAAGACTGGAGGTGCTATTGATACTTCATGTTCATGGATTCTAAAGATTCTAAAATGCATGGGACAGCCTGAGCAACAGCAAAATAATTATCCTACCCAAAATGCCAATAGCACCCCAATTGAGAAACACCGTAGTAGAGGAAGCTGAAATGAATCGACTATAATAATGGATAGAAAACAAAACAAATTTCATAATAGATAGATGCAGTAAGCACATCATTAACAACATCATAACCATCATTGTAATAAGACAATAGTCCTTTACAAGACAGTTTGCATCATTTCATTTAATCCTTTGCAACAAACCATCAGGGAGTGCACTATATATCTGTGCTTCACAATTTTCATGTGTGTAAGAACCAAATGGGGATCTTGTTAAAATGAAGCATCTGATTCAATAACTGTACTTTAAACAACTCATCAGGGGGCCACACTGAGTTGGCATGTTATGTATAATCGTAGGGAACACTGTTGGTATTGTGGCCAAACCCCCTGAGACACCTGTTACCATTTTTGTGCTTTCTGCGCCCACCTCAACCCTGCGCAAGATTTACTTCCAACACCTGTACCTGTGATTCCCCTGGGCAGGCACTGTGGCTACTGGAGCTGCTTTGCCAAAATCCGATATAAAGTTGTAAATGCCTGGAAGTTTAGATCTCTCTAGGGAGAACTTGAGTTAATGACTAGCTGGTATGAGAGTATGAAACCTCAATTCCTTTGCCAAATCAGGACAAACTCTGAGGCATCACTTATCCAGAGTCCCCTGCAGAATTTAGTTCAAGCTACTGTCTTCTGGACTATGCCTAAAATCATACCTTTACTTGCCCTTCTATTTCCCTGCCCTCCTTTCATTACTCCCACCACAGTTTCCTGTGGGAACACTTACTCAATAAATCACTCGTATATAAAACATTATCTTAGTTTCTGCTTCTGGAGAAGCCTACTCTAATACATCCTCAATTTCTCTCTTTTCCTCAACTCACGCATCCTTTTGGTTCACCTTCCAAATTACATCCCAAATCCACCCATTTATCACCAAATCCAGTGCTACACTCAGGTCAAAGCTTCCATAATTTTACCTGGACTCATGCAATTGCCTTTTGACAACCCCAATCCATTTTCTGCATTTTCCTGAGGGATCGTTTGAAAAGTAAATGATATTATGTCACTTTTATGCTTCAAATATTACCACTACTTCCTTTTGCTCTTAGAATAAACTCCAGACATCTTACTATATCTACAGTTGTTTACATTCTCAGGTCCCTACCTCCGTCTTTACTGACATCTGCTAACAAATCCTAGCTTTGCCCATTTTCCTTCAGCCGCACTGGTCTTTGTTTTTTCTTCCATGTGTATTTCACCTCAAAGACACTGTGATTCTGACTGTGCTGTTCTCTCAGATTTTCTCATCATTCATCTCAGTTCAAATGTTACTTTAAAAAAAGAAACCTACCTGACTACCCGATCTAACATAGAATCCCATATCCTCCAACACTTTCCATCATAAATTACTGCAGTTATTTTCTTCACAATATTTGTTATTATGTCACATTAACTTGTTTGCTTTTGTTTGTTACTGCTTACTTATTGACATGCTCTCAATGTTATTAGAATATGTTAATAAATTCTTGAGACCAGGGACCTTGTGAAATGTATCATCAATGTCTATAGTACCTTGATCATAACAGAAGCTTCATTAATATTTTTTAAATAAATGAAATATAAGTGATTCTCATTTAAGAGATGACAAAAATAAGGCTTTATATATTACTTGTCCACAGTCACACAAGGTCACTCAGTAGCCAGTGGTGGAGCTGGGACTCAGCTGAGCTCTTGGTCATGTGTTATACTTTTCCCCTGTTTCTGGAGTTTGTTCTGCTCAAGAACTCTGATCAAATTCAGCCTCATTCAGCCTCACTGTTGACTCACAGACTTTCCCTTAGTATTTACACCACATAATGCTAGAATGGAACTTCTTAGGTTGATATTGAGGAAGGAGAAAAATAGGAAAGCTAAGTAAGATAAGTGGAGGAAGATAGAAAAAAGTGGTGGAGACAATAAGTTGGTTAAGGGGCTGTCGGGGAAAATAACTACTCTAGAGGATAGCAATCATTTATTTTAAAAAGCTTTATTAAGTGATGCAAATGATTCTGCTATGGGTAATGAGATAAACACCCAGCAAGCCTAAAGCTTGCTAATTACCCTGATCTAATCACTTACATTATGTACATTTCAGAACATCACTGCGTACTCTATGAACTCCATGAATATGTACAATTGTTATTTGTCAGCTAAGAACTACATTAAAAATAAAGCAATAAAGTATATGTTGAAAAAATTAATTATAATACAAAGAAAATTACAGACTAAGGTTACTATGTTACATAAAATTTATAATTATAGACATCTTATGGATTTAGTTTGATAGTCTAGCTGTAGATGGCTGGGCATCAGGTAAATTGGCCCTGAATTCCTCTCATTGCCTCTTCATATGGATTTACAAAATGGTAAATGGAGGCATAAAATCCCTAAAGAAAACTACTTCCCTCTCCTTCTGCCTTTCTTTCATTCATCCATTTATTCATCCCTGTTCATTCATTTAACAGCTATTTATAAAACATAGAGAGCGAGCAAGAGGGTGAGAGAGAATATTATTTTGTCTGGGATGTCAAGATAAGTTTCTTTGAAGAAGTTTAAACTGAGCTCTGAAAGAAGACTAGGAATTAATTATTGCTACTACTTAGTGTATCTCTAGTATGCTAAATAGAAATCAAATAGAGAAGGAATGTTTTGGGCAGATGGCAGGGGTGAAGGTCCTAAAAATGTAGGGCTCATGAAACATACCTTCTTTCTCTGTTTCATCTTGAAATCTCATCTCTAACAATAAATACAAGTAACTTTCTTGAGGTTATTTTTCCCCAGAAGTATGTGGAAGAAATGCATATAATGTATATAGTATATATAATTGTGCATATTATTACATAAATTATGTAAGTATGTATTATATCTAACATATCTGTAGAGACAGTTGTGGATGATTGCCATTGAAAGCTAACTTTCATTTGAGTAGTGCAGTTTCACATTAAACTGAACTTGGGCATGAATTTCAGAAAGAGTATAGAAAGGGTTAGGCCCTTTTTAGGCCCAACCTAAAATTTTAAAGCCTTTAATTGAAAAATTTATGACAGTTTCAGGTTAGTCATTTAGACTAATAAAGTTTAGCAACATCACATCATCTGTAATAAATTGTTGCTTATCATAAACCTATTAGGGAAGAAAAGTTTAAGTCAAGAAAATGTATATATAAAAGTAATGCTTATTTTATGGGAAAAGTAATGCATAGTAATGCATAGCTCAACATGGAAAGGTATGAAATGAAAAGTAAGAGGAATGACTCAGTGTGTTACAGAAAAGGGAAGATAAGTTTGTGATAATATGGAGGCAGAACCGAAGTTTCAGAAACAGAGGCTAAGAATTTTACTCCCCAGCTCTGTTAACCTTCTAGATCACTGGCAAATGGAAAAAAGGATAGTGGATGGATCAGGCTTAATCGCAGAAAAGGTTTCATGATATTTGGATACAGAAAGGTTTTTTAAAGCTAATTTTAAATGAATTAAACATCAGAAGCAAATGAGAAACTGATGGTTGCTGGTTGGCCTTCCTCTGAGGTAAAAGGTCAAGTGATTGCTTGAAAGATCATCTAACTTGGCCTATGAAATGGAATGTGTTCATTTTATTCAGAACTTATTCATGTGTCAAACTTTAGAGGATTGTATAAAGACATCGGCAAAACTCTTGAACTATCTGATACGTCTATTTCATATAAAATGCAAAAAATTGTGTAATTCACCCTTTCAAAGAACCATAATCATTTAGAAGGCAGTATGAGAAGCATTTCATTTAGCCTATCAAGGTGACCTAAGATAGTTAGTTTAGATGTGTAAGCATATGCTCTAGTATTTTGCACGATATGCTTTGAGTTCCATTATGAGCATTTCAGGTAGAAATTCATTTTTCAATCATTTTCTTCTCTTTTTAGACACATATATAATTTAATATAATTTTAGAGACCTCATTATATTATAATTTTGTCCTCTCTTCTCCACTTTTTAAATGTTACATCTTTCCTATTTGATTACAGTATATTAAAATAATAATGAGCTTGTCAGTCTTATGATTGACATATATAGAATGTCTTATTTTAGCTAGGTCGAAAAAATGAAACAATTCTAATAAAATATGTATGGTAAATATGATAGATAGACTTATTGCAGCAAAGGAAACTTGAAAATAGAATTTATTTATTCATTACCTGTGTTTCCATGGCTACATCTCAGGCACACGACCACACCCACAGTAGCATTTATACCCATTCATATCACCCCTTTCCTGGTCAGAATATGGAGAGAGGGGTTGCCATATTGGGTCCTAAGATACAGCAACCTGCAGCACATGCTTTTACTAAATTGCAGCCTCTCACTTATTTTCTCAGGTCTGTATTATTGTACATATTTTAAAGAAGTGTGAGTCCTAAGGCAAAATTTAACTGCGAAATATATAAGTAGTACATCATTTCCCCCTAGAATGTAAGCTCCACCAGGGCCCAGATCTTTATCAGTTTTGTTCCCTGAAGTATATCATGTACCTAGATCAGTGCTTAGCACCTCGTGGAATACACAGGAGAGAGACAGAGAGAAAGAGAGAATATATAAATTACATATCAGGCTGACCTGCTATTCCAAGGCAGGAATGTGTTCAGTTAACTTTGAGTTTTTATTGTTCTTTGCTACCTGTCAGACTTTGCACATATCCCATTATCTTTCATCACTAGGCCCCTATTGTACAACTCTTTTAAAGTATCTTGAGTAAGATTAGAATTTTGAGGTACCTTTTCTTATTTCCCTGCTATTTAAAACAAGAGACAGAAAACTAGCACTAATGGAGTGTCCATCATGTGTCTGGCACAGTGCTATACATGTTAATGTATATCATCTTTTTAAACAAAGAAGACTGAAATTGGTCTAATGCAACATGACTGTATGCTGCCTTTATCTTCATCAGGGTGCTTTCAATAATTTGGACAGCTGCAAATGAGATTGCTACTGGATAGCTGTGAATCAATTTAATAATGCAGATTAACTTGAAACATGAGAGAGACATCTATGGGATTTTTTCTGCCAGATCCTCCTTAGTAAAGCATGGACTATCTATTAATATTGCTGCTGCTGGACTTTTTAATTCTATGAAGTATATCCAGATCCCCCTTTACATAATTTTTAAGGACTATGGTGCTAACATTTTAGTATATCTCTAGTATGCTAATTGGGAATCATAGATATCCTTCTTAATAAAATCATGTTCTTTTGGGAGCTTTGCAACCTTCATGTAACCCTGGACCACTGCAAATAGAGTTCCACATGTAGATAAAACATTGTTGAAATAATTTATGAGTTGGAACCTAATACAAATGGATTCAAATTCCAACTCCACAACTTATTAGCTAAACTTAGATTCCTGAGACTTAGTTTATTTGTAAAACAGGAAATTATTTCAGCACTGTTGTAAGAATTAGAGAAATCATGGGCAATAATTGAAGGGTAGATACTCAATAAGGATGCTATAATCATTGATAGAGGGTAGAGATAGGAAATAGTAATATTTTACCTTTACATTTGTATTTTCCATTTCAACATATGTTCAGAATAAAGGTTTGGGATTGTGACTTAAATTCACAGTCCCTATTCAATGCCCATCTTTCCTCCAAGGCACAAATTGAATTGTACTTCCTCCAGCTATGCCTATCTCACATTGATCTCTTCCAGTATCATTTATCTTTCCTGTAGTGAAAATTGCTTGCAAACACATGCCAGAAAGCCTGTGTTAAATATGAAATTTTTGCTTCCTTCATTATATGACTTTGGGCAAGTCAGTTTACATTTCCAAGGTTCAATTTCCATCTTATTAAAATGGCTGTGGAATTGTACTGAATATTGTATTAGTCTGTTTTCATACTACTGATAAAGACACCCAAGACTGGGCAATTGACAAAAGAAAGAGGTTTAATTGGACTTACAGTTCCATGTGGCTGCAGAAGGCTCACAATCATGGCAGAAGGCAAGGAGAAGCAACTCATGTCTTACCTGGTTGGCAGCAGGCAGAGAGAGAGAGCTTGTGCAGGGGAACTCCTCTTTTTAAAACCTTCAGATCTTGTGAGACTTATTCACTATCACAAGAACAACACAGGAAAGACTTGCCTCCATGATTCAATTACCTCCCACCAGGTCCCTCCCACAACATGTGGGAATTCGAGATAAGATTTTGGTGGGGACACAGCCAAACCATATCAAATATTAAGTAAGATAACGAATAAAAGATATTCAAAAACTTTATAGTGCTTTATAAGTTGTCTCAGTTATCTGTGGCTGTGTAATAAATCACAAAAAGTTGGTGAGCTAACACAATAAGGGTTATTTCTCAACTCTATAAAGTCTAGGATCAGCTGGGTAGCTCTTCTGCTCAAAATGGTGTCCAAGGATGGCTTCTTCACTCACTCGTCTGGTGCCTTAACTGACCTGGCTAGAATAACTGATTCTAGCTGGGCATCTCTATTACCATATGTTTTCTCTGGCAGCATAGCCAGAACATTTTACATAGTGGTTCAGGGATCTTAGGAGAGCCTATTCCAAGAGAAACTCAAGTCTTACCTTGTATTATGCTTGTTAATGTTTTATTGGCCAGAGCAAATCACAGGACTTATCCCACAGCCAATGTGTGAGGTGACAACACAGTCACATGGATCCCAGGAGGTGTAGTTCATTTGGGGCCACCAATGTAACAGTCTACACACAAATGTAAGCAGTAATTGACATTCCCATTTCATTTCTATTACTTTGCTATACCACATATTTTGGCATTTGTTTTGCCTCCATAGTCTTCTTCATTGGTTCACGTGTGTACTCCTTGTTTCAAGATGATAAATTTTCTAGTGGCAAGGACTCTGTTCTAACATCATGTTACCTTGATTCTAACATCAAAGCTAATATTTAATGATATATTGGAATATGTAGGCTTTGATGGTTTTGTAGAAGCCGAATCCTTCCCATATCTGCCACTTAACAGCCATTGTGGCCCTGAGCAAGTATTTGACCTCTTTGAGCCTCAGTTTTCCCATTTGCAAAATGAGGATAATAATGGTTTCTTCCTTCACATGATTGTTATAAAAATTAAATTAGTTAATAATATGAGAAAAGAATAGTGCAGGTCCAGAATAAATTTTAAATGTTAGTGTTATATTTTACTGATATAAAGATAGCCTGATGTACTTGTTTAATTTGTATCTGATCTCTCATCCATGGGCCCCAGTTTAATACTTCATAAAGGAATAGATTTCTTGAGTAATTCACACAGAAATATTTTACAGCCTCAAAATTTGGAGTATTTATATATAAAATAAATTCTATATTTTAGCACTGCATTCTCACAAGTTAGTGAAGGCCTTGATATTTTTGGGCATTGGTGTTTTTAATTCTAAAAGGAGGAAACTATTCTGGTTGTATTCCTAACCTTTTTGAGTTTGGGCAGTCTTATTTGGTAATCTGAGTTAAATACATTTTAAAATAGTTATGCTAAGATATTTTAATTGAGAAGCTTGTGATATTTATTGAAACTTCTATATAG
Organism: Homo sapiens; assembly: GCF_000001405.40. Lineage (NCBI taxonomy): Eukaryota > Metazoa > Chordata > Mammalia > Primates > Hominidae > Homo > Homo sapiens. The sequence goes on from NC_000004.12 coordinate 93,576,077, forward strand.
AATTCACTTACCTGTAACATCCTATGATATAAGGATATTTTGGTATTGCTTACATGTGAAAATGTTAAAGTGGATATAGGCACTCAATGATAGTCAAGTTATCCCTGCCACTATGCTACCCTTTAGAATTTAAGACCTCCTTTTGAGCAAGGAATGTTTCTGGCAGCATCAATAGCAATCAATTTTCTACTCACATTCTCTCTTTTCCACCCAGTGAATTTTACTGCCTTATGGGCAGCAACAGTTGTACCCTCTGATTGACTCCACTACTCTCCTCTTCACATCCAAAAACAAAATCCGCTGACAAAATAGCTTTGCTTTGGGAAGAGATTGAAGGGATTAGACCACAAAATGCTACTTTTTGGGGGTCAGGACAAGTAGAAGTTGAAATAGTCAATATATTTATTTTGCAAACACTATTTTAATTAACTTTTGGTCATTTTAACAATAACTTCATAGATATTTAAAAACCTGATAAGTATCACTTTGCTTTTTTGCATTAGAAGCTATTAAATTATCTATATATTTTTCAAATATAGAGAATATTGCCCACATGAAGTACATATTGCCCATATGTAGTTCACAACACTTTTTTGACGTTTTAGTGAGTCTGTGTTGCTGGTTCTTCGATACGTGTGCATTTCCTTTTATTTTTTTTCTCTTGATCCAAGAATTTTCTTTAAAGAGATATGCTTTCCAGAAGAAAAGGAACATAAAAGTACATATGTGTTTTAGTGTTCAGAGTATATTCAGGTGATTCATATTGGTTGGGAGGGGCAGGAGATCAGGTAAAAAAGGGTGAAGAAAAGAAAGAGGACACAGTTTTCCTGGAAATGGAAGGATGAAAAAGAAAAATGCTTGAACAAATATTGTTTCTGTTTTCTCATTGATCCAGGAAAAATAGTTTAGAAGTATATTCAAATTGCCTAGGTCCATGTTTTTAATATAACAGGAAAATTATACAAATCAAAAAATCATCTGCCTTTCCCCAAAAATGTGTGTTTTTTTACCCATTTGGTTTAATATAGACAAAGAGTCTGCCATTTCTTCCTTAATTAAGCATGTATTAAGTGTTTACACTCAAGCGTCATACAAAGCCCTCAAATATCTTAAAGCCCAGTGTGGCAGACAGAAATATGAAGGAATAAGGTCAAAGTACAATTATGGATTTCCTAATAAATGTCTGTGCTTTGTAAGAGGAGGGGGTGGGCATCAGGGAGTTGTCATGGAAACATTTATAGAAGAGAAAACACTTTTAAATGCAAAGGCAGCCACTAAAAAACCACAGTGATTGAAGGACCCTTCTAATTCAAAAATATAAAAAATAAAAGGGAAAGTGTAAGTAAACAAAAGAAGAAACAAGATGATAATTTTCCCCAAATTCAGTCAAGATTTAGGATATGAAGAAAGAGTATTGAAAATACATTGTCATGCATGTATTAAATTCTGTTTGAAATTCTATCAGTAAATGTTTGCCAATTTTTTGGAGGAAAAGATTACATATTTTGGTGCATATTTATTCATGGAACAAATGCTATGTGCCAGACCACAGGAGTTACTGGGAACAAAATGGTAGGGATAAAACTAGTCCTTGCCTTCATGGAGCTGAAAGTGAACATGAACCAAATGTTTCCCTCAAGTCTTCTGTACTCCCCTTTACAAAGTGAAATGGCACAGGCCTGAAGTGTTCTGTGCTTTATAAAGCGTGCAAGTAGTTTTGTCAGCTTTCTGGAAAAGGCCTAATATTATTAGGAAGCAAATTTGCATTTAATATCTACTTAACTCAGGTCATATTGTTTTCTGTTTTGACTTTAAAAAGAAAATGTGATGGGTAATAACAATAAAATGGGCACAATTATTTAGAAGAGGCGTGTTTGTGCCAAGAAAATTACAGAGGCAGAGTAAGATTTGCAAGGAGATGGCATTTTTCTCATAATTGCTCTCTGGATGTGTGTGCAGCAGGTTTCATTTGAGGGTGGCCACTGTTGAGAACTTCTTTCACAGCAAAGTGCTGCTACACCTAAAGTTTTATCTGCTCTTCCGTGGTTTCATCTTAGCTACCATAGCAACACTAACAGTGCTATTCCACCCTCCCATCAACATTCAGGAGAAGGCTTCTCTTGTCTGCACGGGATTGCGCTTACATCCACTTAGAGAGCATTCCCAATTCATCAGATGTATATCTTTTAGAAACGGTTTCCTGAGGAGAAAAATAGGTATTTTGAGAGATGGTTATGATATTTTTAGCCCACTGAGCAATTTTGATAGCCTTATCATAGACACAGATCCAGGTTCTGTGGGTTCTAAAGATTATACTGTTAAAAGTGGGGAGGGGTTGGGGATGGAAATACTGTTTTTTGAAAAGAATACAAATTTACAAATTCAAAATTAGATACAAAAATGAATATTTACTTAGGATGAGAAAAGCAATCACATCACATTACAAAGCTCGGAAAGCTGATATATAGGTATCACAAACTCCAGAAAAAGAACCTTGTCTTGTTTTTTGTATTTTTTTTTTTTTTTTTTTTTTTTGAGTTGGAGTCTCACTCTGTAGCCCAGGCTGGAGTGCAGTGGCTCGATCTTGGGTCACTGCAAGCTCCGCCTCCCAGGTTCACGCCATTCTCCTGCCTCAGCCTCCCAAGTAGCTGGGACTACAGGCGTCCGCCACCACGCCCAGCTAATTTTTTGTATTTTTAGTAGAGACAGGGTTTCACCATGTTAGTCAGGTTGGTCTCGATCTCCTGACCTCGTGATCTGCCCGCCTCGGCCTCCCAGAGTGCTGGGATTACAGGCGTGAGCCACCGCACCCGGCTGCCTTGCTTTCATTAACTGTCAGACATTCTTCCATAATAGTTTTTCCTATAATTTTATATCTGTATACTCATTGATTTCCTCTTTATGAAGGACTTCGTAGGAGCATTTCTGGAGAGCAATTAGAAAATGTCTTTCCACTAGCATAGTGATCCAAATCAATTTTTTTTTTATTCTTGACAGTCTGAAATAACTTCTTTCAGCTTCACAGCTCATTATTGGTTATGACATGTACATTTTTAGAATTGTTGCAAAATTTAGGAAATCCTCTATCAAGTTTATTTTGTATGTGAACTGTCAGATTTGGAAGAATATTTCACAGACTAGCTTTTGGCTCTGAACATTCCAAACCGTTTTTCTCCTCCACTACCCACACAGTTCCAGTGTCAAGCACCAGAGGACACGTTCATATCACAGTACAAAATCCAACTCTGGTACCTTTTGTCGGGAAGCTCAATATTGACAGCCCAATAGGTGATAGGAATATTCCAGTCCTGACAGCTGGTAACTGCAAAACTTTAGGTGATCTGCGGTCATTTCCACACAATTAACCATATAGGGAAATGACCCCAAATCACCTAAAGTTTTCCTTCCTAAACTTATTTAAAATATACCCAAGTGAAATTCCTCTTACCCTCATGCAAAAAAAATACTTAAGGCTATTCCATCGCCACCTGACCAATGGGAAGTATGATAGAGGGGTAGTTGGTGTTGAAAGAGACAGTGGTCTTGACTGATTGCAATTAAAGTATGTTAATTTTGCCAGACAACTGAGGGACACTGACCTTGAGCTCTAGGGGCTTCTCAGTGAGCCTGCATTTGTTTAGGATGCATTGAGGCAACGCTTGCCCACACCAATCTCCCTTAGCCTACATCTGGCCCTAAAGAGAGTCCACATGTCTAAGGTTTGCTTAACATTCCTCTCAGGCTTTCCAACTCCCTCTTGCTTTCGTTTTCTTTATCCCTGTCACTTCTTTATCCAACCAAAGACTGAGTGATCAGGAGGAAAATAAGACTGACTGGCAGAGAAGATGTGCATGCATCTGTCATTCGGATCATCTCCAATGCTCTGATCTATGTTCTTTGTTATTAAGGCTCTCCAAAAATTATTTTGAAGAATGGACTGAGTTTACATCTCTGATATTTCATCTGTATTCTGCCTTTTCATTTTTGTAGAAGGCACATAACAGATGTACAATTAATATAAAAAAGAATGAGTGCCAGTGACTTCAGTGAATATTGATGAAAACATTTCTTCTTTGGTGTGTAGGGGTGAGATTTTTCAGTGAAGTGCTGCCAGCATTTGCTCTGCACAGTCTCTAGAACTTCTAGAATGAGACATTATGCAGCCATATCAACAGATCAGTTGAACATGGAGAAGGTGATAGGAAGCTTTTGTTAAACTGTGACAGATGAACTATTATCTTATTCTTCCCCGTTTCCTACCATAAAAGTAGGCAAGTGGGGAGAGATACTGATGTGTTGATGCAATAGCACCCACTGACGCACAAAAATTGTTTCTTTCTGAATATTTCGAGAAAGAACTCCTGTGTTTTCAGGCTTGTAGTTCAGCCACATGTATCCATAATTGACTGCAGTATGGAATAAAACTTACAAGATAGCTATGAAAGTTGACTGTTTTGTCATCTAGAGACTTGATAACTGTTTTGTTGCACCAGGCATGAATGTTTTAGGCAGTTTTTTGTTTCGTATGTCATGATGCCATATTCTAAATGAGCATCACCACTTCCCTTGGCATATTTTTGAAACACTCTGCAAAGCATTACATGGTTAATTGTCAGAAAACTGTCACTGAGGAAAGTGGAAAGTGAGATCCTCTTCCCCAGTCCCTGGCAAAGAGCATTTTTTTTTTCTTTTTTTTGGTATTGGTAAGCGTTTAATATCCAGTTCTCAAAACAACCCCCCCCAGTAACCCCCATACCACAAAATAACAATAACCTGATGTATAGCATTTGCAAATTGTCATTATATATATATATACAATTTAACTTCTGGGATACATGTGCAGATTACAGTATTTGCAAATTGTCATTTTATATATATTATATATTTAATGTAAGTTCTGGGATACATGTGCAGAACATGCGGGTTTGTTATATAGGTATACACGTGCCATGGTGGTTTGCTGCACCCATCAACCCATCATCTGCATTAGGTATTTCTCCTCATGCTATCCCTCCCCTAGTCCCCCACCCCCCAACAGCCCCCCGTGTGTAGTGTTCCCCTCCCTGTGTCCATGTGTTCTCATTGTTCAACTCCCGCTTATGAGCAAGAACATGCATTGTTTGGTTTTCTCTTCTTGTGTTAGTTTAGATTTTTGGAATTTCCTGAGTGATAGAGGTGAAAGGAGAATATTTTCTTATTCATAAGTCTCACTGAAATGGGGCTTATTATAAATGGTTAATTATCCAAAAATCAAAGTGAAAAAAGTAGAAAGAGTTATTTGTAGAATAAAACAGAACTCAAGGTATATCCAGGGCCTCCATGTTCATCAATTAATCCCTAAACTACACAGCATTTATATCCGTAAATATGTTATAGTAAATCTGGAAATATAAAATATTTTAAATTGATAATGTTAGGGAAGCCAAGAGTCACAGAGTTAAGAGGGCTGCTCTGAACTGTTTTTGTTTTTGTTTCTGTCTTATAGCTTGTTTAAACTAGAAAGGACCAAATGCCGAACCTACTCATGTACAGATGAGAAAATTGATATCCAAGGAAATTAAGTAACTTACCCTAAACCTACAACCTGCTAGAGATAGTCAGGGCTAAATTCTATGTCTGCTAATTAACTCAGAACTCTTTCACTGAAATATCCTGCATATCTCTATCAGGATATCTCTATCCTGATGGAGAACTCTTTCTCTATCAATCCTGCATTATTGAATAATTTTATGTGATGTGACACTCAGTTTGCAAATTAGACTGAGCAGTACTTTGGATCCTCAGGAACTCCTGTTTTTAAAGAGATGCCATGTTCTCTTTTGTTCATTATCATTGAAGATAGAAATGTCAACTCTTAAAAACATAAGATTTTGTGGTTGAAATTTTTCCTTATATTTTATAGAAAGTCTCTGCATATTTTGTGCTCCATGTATTGATTTCCTGTTGCTCCTGTAACAAATTATTACAAACATGGCTTAAAACAACACAAATTTGCTATTTTATACTTCTCTGGGTCACATGTTCAAAATGGATCTTACTGGCTAAAATTAAGGTGTCAGCAGGTCTGTTTTCTTCCTGGAGGTTTTAGGAGAGAGCCCATTCCCTTGTCTTTTTCAGCTCCTACAAGTCACCTACATTTCTGAACTCAAAGCCTTTTCCTCCATTTTCAAAGCCAACAGCATCGTATCATCCAATCTCCCTCTGTCTCTGACCCTCCTGACTGTCTCTTAAAAGGACCCTTGTCCTTTAAGATTAGGCCCAACTGGATCATCCCAGATAATCTCCCCATCTGAAAATTCTCACCCTAATCATATTTGCAAAGTCTCTTTTGTCATCTATGGTATCATATGGACAGATTTTAGGGATTGGAAGGTAGACATATTGGAGTGGGATAAAGCATTATTCTGCCCACCACACTGCCCTCTTAACTTAAAAGAATTATTTTAACTTGTTTCTCACTAGACGTTGCTTTAGTTTTACAGTTTCTTCAGGTTTATCAGAAATAGAATGAGAAGTAGCGATCATCTCAGACATTTGCCTAAAATAAATATAATTTCTGACACTTACAAAATGTATTTATCTCTCTCATATTCCAGTTTAATAATGGAGACCTTACTTGTTATGTATTTGTGTTTTTTTTAATAATAAAATAAGGAGAAAAAAGAAACGGAATTGTGAGATTATATTTAGATTGGGGAAATAAATAATTCCTTAGGTTCTTTAAAGGGTGAGAGAACAAAGCCCCTTCAATAGAAACGATTTTGTATGACATTGTATTAATTTCCTAGGGCTGCCATAACAAGTCACCACAAGCTTCCTGGCTCAAAATAACAGAAATTTCTCTCAAAGTTCTGGAGGCTAGAAATTCGAAATCAAGGTGTTGGCAGGGCCACACTCTCTCTGAAGTCTCTAAGAAAGCATCCATCCTGTCCTGCCTCTTCCATCTTCTGGTGGCTCCAGGCATTCCTTGGCTTGTGGGAGCATCACTCCCATCTCTGCCTCCATCTTTACATCATGGTCGTCTCTACGTCTCCATGTGTCCTTTTCGGTCTCTCACAAATATACTTTCATTAAAGTTAGAATCATCCTAATCTTCATCCAGATCCTTAGTTATGTCTTCAAAAACCTATTTCCAAACAAGGTCACATTCTGAGGTTCAAGATGGACATGAATTTCGAGGGGGGCACTATTTAACTCGCTACAGGTATAATTATGTATGAAGGAATTATTCTTTATAATTAACTTTCTAGTTTGTGTTACACTTCTCTTTGCTTAAAAAATAAATAACAGCAAATCATTAGCTGCTTTCTTCTTCGGTGCTGTGGACGTTTTTTTCTGTTATTATTAATATTGATCCAGTTCTTGGGAATTTTCTCAATGCTAAATGATAATGAGAGGAAGAAAGATAACAATGATTCTCATTGAATGTTTTTTGCTATATTCTTGGCATAGTGCTGGATACTTTACAAACATCCAATCCCCATAACAATCCTGGCAAGTAGTTATATTATTATAGTACACATAAAAAACTGAAGTTCAAAAAGGCTCAGTAACTTGACCAGCATTATATACCTAGGAAGTGGCAGGGGTCAGAATCAGATATAACAAAATTTCTCTCTCTTCCAATTTTCCAGTATTCTCATCTTAGGGTCCATTCTGTCCAAGGCCGTTCCTCAGACACATCCATTCTCCTTCAGTTCTCACTTTTGAATTCACCTCCAAGCTTATACACTAGCAATTGACAACTAATACATAGCCTTCAAGCTTTTTGCAAACAAACTACAACAATAGCACAACAACAACTAGAACTTCAAAAGTTTGAAGAGTAGTGAAAAAAGAGAAAACAAACCAATGAACAAGACATCACTAAACAGTCCTATTGGATTTGGGAACCACAGGAAGCAGATGGAAAATGCTGAAACATTTCTCTAGAGTCATTGAAAAATGACCTCTATTAAATTGGAAAGAATTTTAGGGTTCCGGTCTTAGATCACAAATGAAATAAAAACAGTTTCATAAAGACACAACTGTTTCTGAGTAAAATATATCTAGAAGTTCCTTGACTTACTAAATGAATTTACCTTGGGAAAAAACATATTTCTTGAAAAATATTTTAAATAGAAGGGCTATCCCTCTAAAGGCTCTCTTATAACATAACTTTGAAAGTAAACATAAGCCAACAAACAAACTAGAAAGCAATATTGTCACTATATTGGTTAATAAATAAAACTGGGAAAAAATAATATGAACATTTTGAATACTGGTCCTTAAATAGGATAAGTATTTGAGGATGTTGACAGAATCAGTAAATACATTAACAATTCTTTTTGATAAACATTTAAGTAGAGCTTTTGAAAAAAATTTTCTTCCTTTCTTTATTATACTATCCCTCAATGGTTGAAAATGTTGTTTTTTGACATGAGGGATACTTCCTTTCTCTTATTGATTGAACTATTGTGTTCTAGTCTTAAATTTATTCTCTTTTTGTAAGAGGATACAATAAAAGTATGAGTCAAAGAATATATTGGGGATTTCAAAAAATTCATTAGAAATGGAATTTAACATAAGCTCTTAATATAAGCTCCATCAAGTTCAAGACATTTTTGTAAATGATGATACCATCCATTTGCTCCATTCCTAAAGAACTGAGGGTCCTGGGAATTTAACTATGTTTATGCTGTCTTTTCTGCATAATTAACTGAAGAAAATGGGTATCCTTTACAGATTTTTTTAAGATTAGGAAACAAAAATCAGTCAAAAGGAGCTAAATCAGGACTATAAAGTGGATGCCTAATGATTTCCCATCAAATGTCTCATAAAATTGCCCTTGATTGATGAGAGGAATGAGTAGGAGCATTGTCGTGGTGGAGAAGGACTCTCTGGTGAAGCTTTCCTGGATGTTTTTCTGCTAGAACTTTGGCTAACTTTCTCAAAACACTTTCATAATAAGCAGAGGTTATCATTCTTTGGCCCTCCAGAAAGTCAACAAGCAAAATACCTTGAGCATCCCAAAAAACTGTTACCTTGGCCTTTGCTATTACCAGTCCACTTTTGCTTTGCCTAGACCAAGTTCACCTCTTAGTAGCAATTTCTTTGATTGAGTTTATTTTCAGGATCATACTGGCAAACCTGTGTTTCACCTCCTGTTACGATTCTTCAAAGAAATCCCTCAGGATCTTGATCTCATTTGTTTAATATTTTCATTGAAAGCTCCGTTTTTGTCTGTGAGTGATCTGGGCACAATGATTTTGGCACCCAGCAAGTGGAAAGTTTGCTCAACTTTAATTTTGCAGTTAGAATTGTGTACGCTGAGTCAATTAAGATGTCTATGGTGTTGACTGTTGTTTCACTGGTCTTTTTCAATTAGGGCATCAACAAGATTAACTTTTTTTCCCACAAAGTGATGTGGATGGTCTGCTGCTGAGGGCTTCATCCCACAACATGGTCTCAACCCTTCTTAAAATGAGGTCCATTTGTAAACTGCTTTCTTGTGGGGCATTGTCCTCATAAAATTTGTGCAAAGCATTAATCATTTCATTATTCTTCCACCCCAGCTTCTCCATAAATTTGATGTTTGCTCTTGCCTCAATTTTAGGGGAGTTCATGTTGCTAATAGGGGCACCTTTCAAACTGGTATCTTATCCTTCTTCATGCTTCAAACTAGATCCTGCCCAGACATGTTATAACAAGTTAATACAAGTTATTTTGGTACAAAAAAAATGAAATCTATGCATAGTTTTTTCATAACACACATTTTCTATGAACTTTTTGAAGACTCTCTTGTACATGGCATATCCACCTTTAGTTACTGAATAAATAAATAAAAGATGCTCTTGCTTAAATTGTTCATGTGTGCTAGAACTTTATCCCGAGCCCTTCATTCTCATGTTTTGCACTTTCCTGTGGTGATTTTACATAAACCCATGAGTTTGTTAATATCTGTTAAATTGATGACAGCCAAACCTATGGCTCCAGCAGAGATTCTACTCCTGAGTGTCTGACCTCTATATCCAAGCACATTTTATGCTTGACTACTTAAACTACTTGAGTGATCCTAGAGATCTTAATTTCCACATATTCCAAACTAATCATATCATCCTTTGCCCAAAACCTGGCATTTCTGCAGATGTACCACCACCCGTATCATTCAACCAGTTCAGACATCTGGGGTCACCAGATGTTTCCCTCATACTCAGGACTTATCTGGCCACCAAATCTGGAGATACCTGTCTCCTAAACTTTTCTCATATCCTTCACCTTATCTCCAATTCTTCTGCTCACCTACATTACAGTAAGACCTAATCTGTCTCTATCCCTAGATTCTTGACTCCATTCAAATGAGTACCCCTCTGCCATTAAGTAGTTTTATAAATCCTTAAATAGCTTGCCCTAGCTTTCAGCCTAAGATCAATAATAATGGTGATTGCCATTTTTGTGCCTATTATATGTGAAACACTATTCTAGACACTTGACATACATATATTTGCATTAGCTCTCATCTGATATCAGTCTGGTAAGATAGATATTACCCTAATTTTATAAATGAAGAAACTGAATGTCAGAAAGCTTAGATGATTTACTCAAGACTACTGAGCCAGTTCATGATGGAGCTAGGGTTCAATCCTAGGATGATGGTCTGGATGCAAAACCTTCTGTTCCACTGGACCTGTTGCTGAATTGAAACTTGTAAGATCAGGACACAAAGGCTGTTGATGATCTGGAATGCTCAGATGCTGATCTTCCCTAGCATGGGCAGTTGCTTCAGTAATACCAAAGTATTACCTTCTCTTTCTTCTCTCTTTTTTAACCTCATACATATGTACCCTTTTAAAAAATTCATGGAAGAATACATTCAGGTTGTTAAAAAATTCAAATAAAGTGAAAGTAATTAGAATAAATTATACATCCTCCACACAGCCCCAATCTCCTCCCAAGAGAGCTAATCACTTTCAGACACTGATGTTGACTGAATTCATTTAATCTAAAGACTTAGATCTCTTCTCCTCTATGAAGTTTCTTTCTGTCTATCATTTCTCTTTATTCCCTCTGTTCTCTGCCTCTGAAACTTCTACCCAGCATTCTTTGTGCCACAGACTGCTCGAGACACTGAGCACAGCCTATATAACTATATTTAAAATTGTATAAAATTAGATGCACAGGATTACAAAGGAAACCAATTTTATTAAAATGCAGTTATCTAAATATTAAAAAGTATAATATAGGAATACAATTATGAATGCATCAATAACAAAATCTAGCAACGTATTTGATAGATATGTTAATTCTGCACTACTGATGAGCACAGATTGTATTTTGAGATACTTGCAGCAATAATACTATCATGAAAATACCTGTAATTTTTGCTGATAGCAAAGTGACATGTACTGCTAATACTACTGTGATTTTTGCCTACATCCATATTTGGGGGAGTTATTAAATTTTAGTTAGAGTATATTTTAAAACATGTAATTTCTTTTTTCTATCCAAAGGCTCCTTGAAATCTATCCATGGCCTCATTTTAGTATTACTGAGCTTTTAGGATTTCCACTATCTTCAATATTTCTTGTACTTTCTCTAATATTTTCTAGTCTTTTACACTGTGTTCTAAGGTTAACTTTCTATTTAGATATTTTACTCCAATGGTAAAGAAAATTTATTATATTACATTATAATCATTGTTTTCTACCTAGCCCTGTTATAATTTTATGAGTAAATTACATATAAATGCATTCAATCACTCAAAGAAAAGCTTCCAAAGGAAAGAGAAATTGAAGTAAGGTTGATGTGGATTTCTTGAAAGGAATAATTAAGAAACATTTTGCATATTATTAAAAGCGGTTATCAGATAATCATTCTTTCTGCAAAATTAGATAAACCCAGGGATGATCCAAGAATCCAGAGATAATAATCCTATATTAACCTTTGCTGTTACTTTATGGTTAGTCTAGAAACAATGCAGTGGTCTTTCAATTTGGAAATGAAAATGTTAACATGTAAGGTAGTATGAAAATACCTTCATGAAAAGTATGAACAAATAAAAAATATGGTCAAGAACTTGTAAAGTTGTACTTACATGTTATATGGTAAATTTTAAGAGGTGATTTTTCCAAATAGAAACTACCACCTAAAGAATATAAAAAGAAGAAAGGGGGAGGGAAGGAGGGAGAGACAGACATTATTTTTAAATGAATAAGCTAAAGAACATTTATAAAACAATCAAAATTTTTTTTGCAGTTGGAATAATAGGTTTTTTATACACATTCATTATGTTGTAAATGTTTTCCTCTCCATTAATTTACATTAATGTCATACAGGACTACAAAAAATTAGGGTTCAGAGTTATAGATAACCTATAAGCCAATGCAAACAGTCGATCACCAGTGTTTCTGTAAGAATGAGGATGGTTTATTATTTACATCCTTTTACTTTGCAGTAACTATTCAAGGGAGAAGGCAAACAGAAAATGCATCAAATCTCAGTATTATTGTCTATGTTTTTCTGTTGCCATCAGCTAATGCTCTCATTCTGATTCATACCCACCCAGCTTCTCCACTGAAGTCAATGAGAAACTTCCTTTAAAGGCTGCAGAGTCACACTCACAATTGCCTACAGCAGATGGGTAAACTAAGTCTGAGCCCTGCCCCTTCTCCCAGTACTGGTCCCCTGAAGGCCAAGGCCTGAGAAATGTTTAAAAATACTTGCATTCCCTGACAACAAGATAAATTTGTAATGTGGATTTTTTTTATTTCTCTGAACAAATCAGAACATTTGACAACACTGGACCTGCTTTCCAGCTATACAACAAGCAGCAGGTTCCTGATTTTGCCATTTTGCCCCATCAAGTTCAATGGGGCATGAACTCTCCAGCAGGTTCATCATATACATTATACCCAGAATGAAGTCCTAGCTTTTCAGCGTAGAATTCAACAACGTTCATGATTCTGCACTCCCCTGCTTTTTTTTTTATTATTTATTTATTTTATTATTATTATACTTTAAGTTTTAGGGTACATGGGCACATTGTGCAGGTTAGTTACATACGTATACGTGTGCCATGCTGGTGTGCTGCACGCACTAACTCGTCATCTAGCATTAGGTATATCTCCCAATGCTATCCCTCCCCCCTCCCCCCACCCCACAACAGTCCCCAGTGTGTGATGTTCCCTTTCCTGTGTCCATGTGATCTCACTGTTCAATTCCCACCTATGAGTGAGAATATGTGGTGTTTGGTTTTTTTGTTCTTGCGATAGTTTACTGAGAATGATGGTTTCCAATTTCATCCATGTCCCTACAAAGGACATGAACTCATCATTTTTTATGGCTGCATAGTATTCCATGGTGTATATGTGCCACATTTTCTTAATCTAGTCTATCATTGTTGGACATTTGGGTTGGTTCCAAGTCTTTGCTATTGTGAATAATGCCGCAATAAACATACATCTGCATGTATCTTTATAGCAGCATGATTTATAGTCATTTGGGTATATACCCAGTAATGGGATGGCTGGGTCAAATGGTATTTCTAGTTCTAGATCCCTGAGGAATCGCCACACTGACTTCCACAATGGTTGAACTAGTTGACAGTCCCACCAACAGTGTAAAAGTGTTCCTATTTCTCCACATCCTCTCCAGCACCTGTCGTTTCCTGACTTTTTAATGATTGCCATTCTAACTGGTGTGAGATGGTATCTCCTTGTGGTTTTGATTTGCATTTCTCTGATGGCCAGTGATGGTGAGCATTTTTTCATGTGTTTTTTGGCTGCATAAATGTCTTCTTTTGAGAAGTGTCTGTTCATGTCCTTTGCCCACTTGTTGATGGGGTTGTTTGTTTTGTTCTTGTAAATTTGTTTGAGTTCATTGTAGATTCTGGATATTAGCCCTTTGTCAGATGAGTAGGTTGTGAAAATTTTCTCCCATTTTGTAGGTTGCCTGTTCACTCTGATGGTAGTTTCTTTTGCTGTGCAGAAGCTCTTTAGTTTAATTAGATCCCATTTGTCAGTTTTGTCTTTTGTTGTCATTGCTTTTGGTGTTTTAGACATGAAGTCCTTGCCCATGCCTATGTCCTGAATGGTAATGCCTAGGTTTTCTTCTAGGGTTTTTATGGTTTTAGGTCTAACGTTTTAAGTCTTTAATCCATCTTGAACTGATTTTTGTATAAGGCGTAAGGAAGGGATCCAGTTTCAGCTTTCTACATATGGCTAGCCAGTTTTCCCAGCACCATTTATTAAATAGGGAATCCTTTCCCCATTTCTTGTTTTTGTCAGGTTTGTCAAAGATCAGATAGTTGTAGATAGGTGGCGTTATTTCTGAGGGCTCTGTTCTGTTCCATTGATCTATATCTCTGTTTTGGTATCAGTACCATGCTGTTTTGGTTACTGTAGCCTTGTAGTATAGTTTGAAGTCAGGTAGTGTGATGCCTCCAGCTTTGTTCTTTTGGCTTAGGATTGACTTGGCGATGCGGGCTCTTTTTTGGTTCCATATGAACTTTAAAGTAGTTTTTTCCAATTCTCTGAAGAAAGGCATTGGTAGCTTGATGGGGATAGCATTGAATCTGTAAATTACCTTGGGCAGTATGGCCATTTTCACGATATTGATTCTTCCTACCCATGAGCATGGAATGTTCTTCCATTTGTATGTATCCTCTTTTATTTCCGTGAGCAGCGGTTTGTAGTTCTCCTTGAAGAGGTCCTTCACATCCCTTGTAAGTTGGATTCCTAGGTATTTTATTCTCTTTGAAGCAATTGTGAATGGGAGTTCACTCATGATTTGGCTCTCTGTTTGTCTGTTGTTGGTGTATAGGAATGCTTGTGATTTTTGCACATTGATTTTGTATCCTGAGACTTTGCTGAAGTTGCTTATCAGCTTAAGGAGATTTTGGGCTGAGACGATGGGGTTTTCTAGATATACAATCATGTCATCTGCAAACAGGGACAATTGGACTTCCTCTTTTCCTAATTGAATACCCTTTATTTCCTTCTCCTGCCTAATTGCCCTGGCCAGAACTTCCAACACTATGTTGAATAGGAGTGGTGAGAGAGGGCATCCCTGTCTTGTGCCAGTTTTCAAAGGGAATGCTTCCAGTTTTTGCCCATTCAGTATGATATTGGCTGTGGGTTTGTCATAGATAGCTCTTATTATTTTGAAATATGTCCCATCAATACCTAATTTATTGAGAGTTTTTAGCATGAAAAGTTGTTGAATTTTGTCAAAGGCCTTTTCTGCATCTATTGATATAATCATGTGGTTTTTGTCTTTGGCTCTGTTTATATGCTGGATTACATTTATTGATTTGCGTATATTGAACCAGCCTTGCATCCCAGGGATGAAGCCCACTTGACCATGGTGGATAAGCTTTTTGATGTGCTGCTGGATTCGGTTTGCCAGTATTTTATTGAGGATTTTTGCATCAATGTTCATCAGGGATATGGGTCTAAAATTCTCTTTTTTGGTTCTGTCTCTGCCGGGCTTTGGTATCAGAATGATGCTGGCCTCATAAAATGAGTTAGGGAGGATTCCCTCTTTTTCTATTTATTGGAATAGTTTCAGAAGGAATGGTACCAGTTCCTCCTTGTACCTCTGGTAGAATTCGGCTGTGAATCCATCTGGTCCTGGACTCTTTTTGGTTGGTAAGGTATTGATTATTGCCACAATTTCAGATCCTGTTATTGGTGTATTCAGAGATTCAACTTCTTCCTGGCTTAGTCTTGGGAGAGTGTATGTGTCGAGGAATTTATCCATTTCTTCTAGATTTTTTAGTTTATTTGCGTAGAGGTGTTTATAGTATTCTCTGATGGTAGTTTGTATTTCTGTGGGATCGGTGGTGATATCCCCTTTATCATTTTTTATTGCGTCTATTTGATTCTTTTCTCTTTTTTTCTTTATTAGTCTTGCTAGTGCTCTATCAATTTTGTTGATCCTTTCAAAAAACCAGCTCCTGGATTCATTAATTTTTTGAAGGGTATTTTGTGTCTCTATTTCCTTCAGTTCTGCTCTGATTTTAGTTATTTCTTGCCTTCTGCTACCTTTTGAATTTGTTTCCTCTTGCTTTTCTAGTTCTTTTAATTGTGATGTTAGGGTGTCAATTTTAGATCTTTCCGGCTTTCTCTTGTGGGCATTTAGTGCTATAAATTTCCCTCTACACACTGCTTTGAATGCATCCCAGAGATTCTGGTATGTTGTGTCTTTGTTCTCGTTGGTTTCAAAGAACATCTTTATTTCTGCCTTCATTTCGTTATGTACCCAGTAGTCATTCAGGAGGAGGTTGTTCAGTTTCCATGTAGATGAGCGATTTTGAGTGAGATTCTTAATCCTGAGTTCTAATTTGATTGCACTGTGGTCTGAGAGGTAGTTTGTTATAATTTCTGTTCTTTTACATTTGCTGAGGAGTGCTTTACTTCCAAGTATGTGGTCAATTTTGGAATAGGTGTGGTGTGGTGCTGAAAAAAATGTATATTCTGTTGATTTGGGGTGGAGAGTTCTGTAGATGTCTATTAGGTCTGCTTGGTGCAGAGCTGAGTTCAATTCCTCGGTATCCTTGTTGACTTTCTGTCTCGTTGATCTGTCTAATGTTGACAGTGGGGTGTTAAAGTCTCCCACTATTAATGTGTGGGAGTCTAAGTCTCTTTGTAGGTCACTCAGGACTTGCTTTATGAATCTGGGTGCTCATGTATTGGGTGCATACATATTTAGGACAGTTAGCTCTTCTTGTTGAATTGATGCCTTTACCATTATGTAATGGCCTTCTTTGTCTCTTTTGATCTTTGTTGGCTTAAAGTCTGTTTCATCAGAGACTAGGATTGCAACCCCTGCCTTTTTTTGTTTTCCATTTGCTTGGTAGATCTTCCTCCATCCTTTTATTTTGAGCCTATGTGTGTCTCTGCACGTGAGATGGGTTTCCTGAATACAGCACACTGATGGGTCTTGACTCTTTATCCAATTTGCCAGTCTGTGTCTTTTAATTGGAGAATTTAGTCCATTTACATTTAAAGTTAATAGTGTTATGTGTGAATTTGATCCTGTCATTATGATGTTAGCTGGTTATTTTGCTTGTTAGTTGCAGTTTCTTCCTAGTCTCGATGGGCTTTACATTTTGGCATGATTTTGCAGCAGCTGGTACCGGTTGTTCCTTTCCATGTTTAGCGCTTCCTTCAGGAGCTCTTTTAGGGCAGGCCTGGTGGTGACAAAATCTTTCAGCATTTGCTTGTCTGTAAAGTATTTTATTTCTCCTTCACTTATGAAGCTTAGTTTGGCTGGATATGAAATTCTGGGTTGAAAATTCTTTTCTTTAAGAATGTTGAATATTGGCCCCCACTCTCTTCTGGCTTGTAGGGTTTCTGCCGAGAGATCCGCTGTTAGTCTGATGGGCTTCCCTTTGAGGGTAACCCGACCTTTCTCTCTGGCTGCCCTTAACATTTTTTCCTTCATTTCAACTTTGGTGAATCTGACAATTATGTGTCTTGGAGTTGCTCTTCTCGAGGAGTATCTTTGTGGCGTTCTCTGTATTTCCTGAATCTGAACGTTGGCCTGCCTTGCTAGATTGGGGAAATTCTCCAGGATAATATCCTGCAGAGTGTTTTCCAACTTGGTTCCATTCTCCCCATCACTTTCAGGTACACCAATCAGACGTAGATTTGGTCTTTTCACATAGTCCCATATTTCCTGGAGGCTTTGCTCGTTTCTTTTTATTGTTTTTTCTCTAAACTTTCCTTCTCGCTTCATTTCATTTATTTCATCTTCCATTGCTGATACCCTTTCTTCCAGTTGATCGCATCGGCTCCTGAGGCTTCTGCATTCTTCACGTAGTTCTCGAGCCTTGGTTTTCAGGTCCATCAGCTCCTTTAAGCACTTCTCTGTATTGGTTATTCTAGTTATACATTCTTCTAAATTTTTTTCAAAGTTTTCAACTTCTTTGCCTTTGGTTTGAATGTCCTCCCGTAGCTCAGAGTAATTTGATCGTCTGAAGCCTTCTTCTCTCAGCTCGTCAAAGTCGTTCTCCGTCCAGCTTTGTTCCGTTGCTGGTGAGGAGCTGCATTCCTTTGGAGGAGGAGAGGCACTCTGCTTTTTAGAGTTTCCAGTTTTTCTGTTCTGTCTTTTCCCCATCTTTGTGGTTTTATCTACTTTTGGTCTTTGGTATGGTGATGTACAGATGGGTTTTTGGTGTGGATGTCCTTTCTGTTTGTTAGTTTTCCTTCTAACACACAGGACCCTCAGCTGCAGGTCTGTTGGAGTACCCTGCAGTGTGAGGTGTCAGTGTGCCCCTGCTGGAGGGTGCCTCCCAGTTAGGCTGCTCGGGGGTCAGGGGTCAGGGACCCACTTGAGGAGGCAGTCCGCCCATTCTCAGATCTCCAGCTGCGTACTGGGAGAACCACTGCTCTCTTCAAAGCTGTCAGACAGGGACATTTAAGTCTGCAGAGGTTACTGCTGTCTTTTTGTTTGTCTGTGCCCTGCCCCCAGAGGTGGAGCCTACAGAGGCAGGCAGGCCTCCTTGAGCTGTGGTGGGCTCCACCCAGTTCGAGCTTCCAGGCTGCTTTGTTTACCTAAGCAAGCCTGGGCAATGGCGGGCGCCCCTCCCCCAGCCTCGCTGCCACCTTGCAGCTTGATCTCAGACTGCTGTGCTAGCAATCAATGAGACTCCGTGGGGTAGGACCCTCTGAGCCAGGTGCGGGATATAATCTCGTGGTGCGCCGTTTTTTAAGCCCGTCGGAAAAGCGCAGTATTCGGGTGGGAGTGACCCGATTTTCCAGGTGCCGTCCATCACCCCTTTCTTTGATTAGGAAAGGGAACTCCCTGACCCCTTGCGCTTCCCGAGTGAGGCAATGCCTCGCCCTGCTTCGGCTCATGCACGGTGCACGCACCCACTGACCTGCACCCACTGTCTGGCACTCCCTAGTGAGATGAACCCGGTACCTCAGATGGAAATGCAGAAATCACCCATCTTCTGCATCGCTCAGGCTGGGAGCTGTAGACCAGAGCTGTTCCTATTCAGCCATCTTGGCTCCTCCCTCCACTCCCCTGCTTTTTAAGACATGCTGCCTGCTCTCCTCAAACAATGGTGACCTCCAGGCCTCTATCTTGTAGGATCCAACTTGGCTTTCATCTTTTTAGGAAGCCTCCTGTAATATCCCTTTCTTCAATGTCGATTGTTCATGAAATTCCTTAGCATTTAGTTGTGGCCTCTCTTATGACACCTTATCGTGGGTACATTGAGATTTAATTTTATTAGTATTTAACATTTCATAATTGTGTGTGTATGCCTTCTTTTCATGCATTACATAATCTTTTCACAACTAGACCAAGTTCTGATATCTGTTATTAGGAGCCAAACCCAGCCCTGTATTTACTTGCTGTGGGAACTTGGGCAAATTATTGATCCCCTCTAATCTTCACTCAGTCCCAATATTTGTAAAATGGGAATAATACCTACTCATGAAGTTATTGTAAAACTTAATGAAACACTGCATGAAAAGCATTTTGCTCAGTGTCAGGGATGCAGTAAGAACTCAGTAAAAATGTTTGTGTTATAATTTCTCTACCATTGTCACTCTCTTGAGAGCTATTAAATGACTTATCCCTGATTTCTTCTTACCTATAGGCCTTTTATTGCCCTAGAAGTTTGCACAACTAACTTTCCACAATTCTTCCTGGTAATAATATTACCGTGAAAATATTCTTCCAATATTTTAAGATTCCCTCATCATTATATTACTTTAATTTCTGTGTAAAGATCATATAGAATACAAATAAAATGAGATCGTTATTTGCTCTTCAGGTACCACATTAATAACAATTTCTACCTACCATGTATTGATCGCCTATTATGTGGCAGGCACTGTGCTAGATATTTATTTTTCTTGCCTTGTCGCTAGTGTTCAAAACTCCACAAGGAAAGTATTTTGACACGAATTTTATGGCTGAGAAAACTGAGGTCCCGAGTAGTTAAGTAAATTATTTGTTTATTCTACATCTGTGTGGCAGAACTGGGTTCGAAATGAGATCTATATGTAAAGGCTATGCACTTTTTGCTAATTTCCTATTGCCTTGTGTTTATTATCTAGTTCACTATTGAGCCATTCAGATACAAATTAGCCCTAGTAAACCTTTGTAATTTCTAGAAATATTGCAATTGTATATGTTTAATGTACAATAAATTCTTCTTAGGCTATCGCTAATAATATTTCTAATACCCCAATATGGCTTTCTTAGAAAATAAAGGCTACTTGAGGGCTGGGTGCGGTGGCTCACGCCTGCAGTCCCAGCACTTTGGGAGGCCGAGGAGGGCGATCACGAGGTCAGAAGATCAAAACCATCCTGGCTAACACGGTGAAACCCTGTCTCTACTACAAATACAAAAAATTAGCTGGGCATGGTGGCAGGCGCCTGTAGTCCCAGCTACTCGGGAGGCTGAGGCAGAAGAATGCGGTGAACTCGGGAGGCGGAGCATGCGGTGAGCCGAGATCGCGTCACTGCACTCCAGCCTGGGCGACAGAGTGAGACTCGGTCTTAAAAAAAAAAGAAAAAGAAAAAAAGAAAAGAAAGGCTACTTGAGAATGACCAAGTTATTATATTAAGACTTTTTCCAGATGCAAGTAAAAATTACGTTACATTGTTTTGTGTTGTAGCATTAACAATGCTCAATGTTTTGATTAATAAGTGTCTGATTTGATATATCAGTTGGATATTACTTGTGAAAACACGATCTGTCTCATTGTTGGATATTGGTTTTTGATAGATCAGATTTAATGTATTACATGGACATTTATGAGGTTCTTCTACATACAATATAATTGATTTAATACGGATCTGGTTTATGGCTGGTGTATTTAATTTCAAAATATATCTGGCTTAATACTTAATGTATTTGTTTTGATATTCGGCATTTTGATGCAATGTTCAAGTGTATGATTTGATAAGAAATATATTGCTCATGGGCATGAAGAAAATTGTAAAAGAAAATTATCAGTAGACAGTGAACAGATGTGTAATTATGCAGAAATAATCACATTTTTAGAGCAGAAATCTAAAGTGAAAATATGTTTCAAAAAGATGTGTTAGTTTTGTTTAGGTAAACATTGGATTCTCAGCTTCATTCAATTAAACAAACAATAACAACAAACAATAAGCATATAAGACCTCCCAAAGTCAGCTATTTTTTTAACAAATTGAAAATTAATTTACTTTGTTGAGTCTTTCCTCATGTGATAGTAACTATTTTATATATTTTGATAAGCTGTTACTTGAAGTAAATATATTTCTACTTGTAGTTTTTATGTGTTTCTGTTTTGAAAATCTACAGCTCCGAAACATCATGATGAATGTTTTACAGTCTTCTAGTTCACAGGGAAACAGAATGCAAGAGACTTACCAGCTTCTCCTAGGATGCGTTAGGAGTCAGTATACTTTTTAGTTTATGTATGAGATTGTTTTGCCTGACTTACCAATAGAATGAATTTTAATGCTCTCCTGCTCATTTGTGATTTCTCTTTCCTAGGAGAGAACTTCCTATAATTCCCTCAGAACCATCCCTGTCCCTATTGTTCATCATCCTTATCAGAGCAGTCACTCCAGCGAATCTCCTTATCTCAAAACCCAGAAGTCCCAAGACACTCTTCATTGCCTGTCCTCTTTTGCCTCCCAAATTTGTTAGCTTGCAGGTTCAGCTGCTTCTTTCTACTTCTTTTGAATCCAAATATTTCTTTCTGCCTCAACGAAAATCCTTGCCTACATACCTACCTTACAACCAAATGTTAGTCACTTAGTTCCTGTTATGTTCTATTCCCAAGCTGTGTTTCACACTTGAACTTCCATCTACTGAATTTCATTTTTTGCTACTCTATATTTGATACCTCTGGATCAAATATAAACTGTTGCATTGAAAGCTTTCTGTTAGATAGCCCTGACTTAAAGGATTGCAGCCTTATTCCTTAATAATATCAATAGGAAAGACTAAAAATATAGACAGTTTGCTGTGAACGAACAATGGACTATCATATACTCTATACATTCTCTGGTACAACATACATGACAACTATCCAAGTTAGGGATGTGGAAACTTAAGCTCGTTGAAGTTAACACAGTCTAATAAGAGGAATGTCAGATTTCACATTTCACACCCGGGCGGTCTGACTCTAGACTCTGTGTTCTTAGATCCAAATGATATCACTTATTGTTATAGCTTCCATTCCACATAGGCAATCTTACAACTTCATAAAATTATTCCATTTCTTCCAGCTGCTATCCCTCCCCCCATAGTCCACTGTCTCTTTCTTTTCATTCTTTATCTCTCTTTCCCTCGTTCACTCATTCCTTCTCATGCTTCCTTTCTCACTCACTCTCTTTTAAAGTTTTTTTACTGTGCTAAGCACCAATGAATTTTGCTTCAAATCACTGACTCTAAGAGGTTTCTAATAGGTTTCTTGCTGACAAAGAGAATAAATGTTAACTTTTCCCTCTTAGGTTGTTGCTCTCGTTTCTTTTCAACCAAATTTATTCTGATTAATCTTACTTATTTTTCTAAGATTTAACCCAGTTTTAAGAAGATTTCCATATGAGCAAGTTATAATACTATCTATATTTGCATTTTAGTATGTTTTGTATTTACAGATTTTGTATCTACCAAAATGCATCTTCTTGAAGGAGAATGCACCTCTAGATGCAAACTAAAACTATCTTTTGCCTCTTTCTTTATCCTCTTTCATAGCTTTCTGTTTCTGTTTCTATGTTTTATTCAGACAAAATAATGCAAATTTGTGCATATCTGTGTGCAGAGAAGAGATTGAAGCAAGAATTGTATAAAATGTGCCTTCATATTGAGTATATACTGTAATTATTTTTTATTTATAATTTCTTCAAGGCATAGAACAAAACCCACTCTAATCTGTCACTAAATAATGCTGTTAATGCTAATTTTTTCTTTTTAAGTTTTTCAGTAATTACATATATAATCTAGACTAAGAAAATCATATTCTGAATTAAACATTGCCACAAAATTTTACTTCCAACTCGATTCTAGGATATTTAAAACCAGGAAATGATACTGTCTCCTTTCACTTCTGGTCTGACACCGAATAGAGTGCTGGTGCACAGTCCATACCCAACAAATGTTGTTGGATGGACTTGAATGTGAATCACCTGCAGCACTCTGTTTAATGATTCAGCATCTATTCCACTAGAGAATGCAAAAGAAGCAGATCTGGAGAAGAGAAAAATTTTATAGCACTGTCATTAGTGGTCACTTCTAAGCACAAGGAAACTTAAAAGTGTTTCACCTACAATTTAGAGTAAGACCAGCCTCTTCAGGTGTACTTCAGGTAAATAGATTACAAGTAAATTGTAGGCATTTCTTTAAGTGAAAAAAGCTTTTAGATGATTACAGAAAGTCTCACAAAAATAATTTTATCATCATTGAAACTTTCTGTAATTTTCTCCTAAGTAAATTTCACTTCCAAATGTGTCATTTCAGTTTGAGATAAAATAATCCTAAAACTATGGCTTCCATTTGCTTCCATCAATCTACTGGAAAACAATGTGATTATATACACACAGAAAAATGTTATGTTCTGATTCCAGTATTGGCTTAGTATCTTATACCAAACTAACCCTTTCACAAAAGCAGCCAGAACCTGAAAGAGATATGACCCTTGAGAGAAGAAACTGCACAAGGAAAGAGTCGCAGTTACATGGCTTTTCCCCTGAGCACACTTCCAAGTCCACACACAGATCAAGACAGCTAGCATTCAAGAATAAAGTTGCAGTTTTACTGGCTTGGAGTGTCACAGGATGGAGTTAGGGTTGCTAGACATCTGAAAATTAAGAGGGAATACCAGAAAGATGAGAATCAGAACAGGAAGAGTCCTAAAATTGGCATTCATACTGCCCTTAAATTCTTGGATAACCCTGAACTGTGTATGCACAGGGGAGAAACCATGCTGGAAAAAGCAACGGCTAGAAGGCCCAAGATTTAAGCGTAACTTAGCTGCCATATACCACAGCGTAGACAAAGTTTGGAGTTCAAGCCCTGCCAAATTAAAAGGGCTGAGTAAACTCATCAGGTATTCCATTAAAATTCCAGAATGAATCTGTAGGATTAAAACTATGTCTCAGTACAAATACAAGTTCCTTAAACAAAAACACAAACTTGATACATTGGATTTTACAAAAACAAAAAAAATTCTACTTATCAAATATTCTATTAAGAAAATTAAAAAGGTAAGCCATACAATGGGAGAAAATATTTACCACACATACATATCTCTGACAAAGACCTTGTATCTCATATATAAAGAACTAAAATCAATAATGAAAAGACAAATAGTATAATAAAAAATAAACAAAAGATTGGAACAGTGGTTTCATAAAAGAAAATATACAAATTACCAATAAACTCAAAAATACTTAATTAACATCATTAGCCACCAAGAAAATATAAATTGAAACCACAATGATATACATTTCACATCCACCATAATAGCTAGAATTAGAAAGACTAATAGCACCAAATATTGGCAAAAATGTGGAGTGACTAGAACTTACATATATTGATGATGTAAAATGCGTAAAAACTACTTTGGAAATCTGTTTAGCAGTTTCCTACCAAACTAAAGGCATATATAGCCTATGACTTAGCAGTTCCAATCTCAGGTATTTACCTAAAAGAGAGGAAAACTTCCATCCATAAAAGACTCATATTGGAAGCAACCCAAACGTCCAACAATGGGGAAATGGAAAAGCATAGTGGTCTACTCAGACCTCAATACTGCAAGAAATAATAATGAGCTACTGATACACAAACCAGTTGGCTGTATCTGAAAAGCATTGTGCTGTTCAAAACTAGCCAGAGTCAGAAGAGTACATGCCATTTGATATCATTTCTATGAAGCTCAAGAGCCAGCAAAACAAATCTGTCATGGTGAGAGAAATCAGAGCAATAGTGCCCAGAGGGTGAGGAAGAGGGCAAGGAAAATTTCTGGAGTGATGGAAATGTTCTGTATCTTAACTGAGGCAGTAGATTCACAGGTATATTTTTTAATGAAAATTCATTGAATTTGAGACTCAAAATCTGTGCTTTTCATGATAAGTAAATTTGCATGCTACAAATGGTTGTACTGTGTGATTTGAATTGGATTTGGATTAAATATAGCATGATTATGGTTTGGATTGGATGGACAGTTGGACTGGATTAAATACAGCATAACCAGATGATAAGAACTGAAAATAGAGTATATGCCTACTCAAGGAAGTTCCTGACTCACCCCTCTCCTATACATCATATCCTACCCAACATAAATACATGGGTGTCCTGGAACATGTCCCATTTTCATGCCTTATTCTTCACTTCTATTCTTTAGGATTATTTCCTTTTCCTGGGGTTTACTCTTTTAATAAATTGGGAACTGCTGCATTCAATGAGGGGCATTTTAACTAAGGAATCCTGATAACACCAACAGCTGAGTTATTCTTGCTAGCTAGTAATTTCCAAAAGTTCAGCCATGAAAAAGATTAGTAATTGAATCTATGCAAGATTAAGCCAACCAAGACACAGGTTTCACTGAAGCTTCTAAAATATTACTTGTAAAATGTTTACTGGGATTAGTCCTGTTTAATCTCTGACCAAAATTTCTATTCTTCCTTTGTTCCTCTGTCTTTAAACTTTGATAATGATAATTTTTTTCATCAAGCCACTTTATAGAATTTTTTCCACATTGATGAGAAAAAATACTGATTCTCTGGCTTCTTTGAAAGACATTCTATCCTTATTTGGAGTAACCATGTTATTATGAATAACACTATTATATTACACCTTTATTTTCTCATTGCTGGGCCAAGAAGTTAGTGAGATACTGAATTGTGACAACTGATCACCATATAGTTTCTTTTTAATGACCTTGTGTAATGTGTAATAGACTGTGAACTATCATCACCTTAAAATGTCATCATGTTTTCATAACATGACAAAGTTATAATGTAAAAATGCTGAATTTAGTAATTGAAAACTGCCATGCTCAGCGAGTGATATTGCCAACACCAAGTCCTAATTTAAGAGTTAGTTTACTCATTTTCCACTTCATTTTATAAGAAAATCTTCCCATTTTGCTTTTCAGAGAGGATTGTGTTATTATACGGGCAATTCTTTTTCACTATTAAGCAATAATCAAATGCTGAGTTTTTCCTTAACTCTTATGTAGTTGCTCTTGCCCAAGGCAATCAATTTAGTTAAGTGTTACCTGTATAGTCAGTCTAAAAAAAGTTGTCTGCCCTAAAGCTGCTTTTGATGCATGAGTGTACCTTGTTTTATGGGGCTTATTGCACTCCACAGAGATTGTGTGTTCAGTAAATTAAAGGTTTGCAGCAGCCCTGCATCAAGCAAGTCTATTGATGCCATTTTTCCCAACAGTGTCTGTCACATTTTGGTAATGATCACAAAGTTTCTAACTTTTTCATTGTTATTATATCTGCTGAAGTGATCTGTTACCAGTGATATTTGATACTACTATTGCAATTGTTATGAGGCACTGTGAACTGTACCCACATGATGGCTAACTTAATCAGTAAATGTGTTTGTTCTGGCTGCTTCACCGACTGACAGTTTACTCATTTCTCTTCCTCTGCTCAGGCCTCCCTAATCCCTGAGACATAGCAATTTTGAAATTAGGCCAATTAATAACCTACAATGGTCTCTAAGTGTTCAAGTGAAAGGAAGAGTCACATGTGAGGAAGACAGGTTGAAAGCCAAGACAGGCTAAAAGCTAGGCCTCTTCTGTCAGATGATTAGCCAAGTTAAATGCAAAGGAAAAATTCTTGAAGGAAATTAAATGTGCTACTCCAATGAATGCATGAATGATAAGACAGGGAAACAGGTGGGGTGCAGTGGCTCACGCCTGTAATCCCAGCACTTTGGGAGGCCGAGGCGGGCAAATCACCTGAGGTCAGGAGTTCGAGACCAGCCTGGCCAACATGGTGAAACCCTGTCTCTACTAAAAATATAAAAATTAGCCAGACGTGGTGGCAGGCGCCTGTAATCTCAGCTACTCGGGAGGCTGAGGCAGGATAATCGCTTGAACTCAGGAGGCAGAGGTTGCAGTTAGCCAAGATTGTGCCATTGCACTCCAGCCTAGGGGACAAAAGCAAGACTTCATCTCAAAAAAAAAGAAAAGAAAAGAAAAGAAAAGAACGTGAAACAGCCTCATTGCTGATATGGAGAAAGTTGTAGTGGTGTTGTTAGAAGATCAAACCAGCTGCAACAACATTCCCTTAAGCAAAAGCCTAAGCCAGAGCAAGGCCCTAACTTTTTTCAATTCTATTCACCTCTATGAGAAACATGAGAAAGCTGCAGAAGAAAATTTAGAAGATAAGAGCTTGGTTCTTGCGGTTTAAGGAAAGAAGCCGTCTCCATAAAATGAAAGTGCAAAATGAAGCAACAGATGCTGATGCAGACACTGCGGCAGGTGATCCAGAAGATCTAGTGAAGATCCATTGATGGAGGTGGCTACACTAAACAACAGATTTTCAACGTAGATAAAACAGGCTTATATTGAAAGAAAGTTCCATCTAGGACTTTCAGAGCTAGAGAGAAGTCAATGCCTGGCTTCAGAGCTTCAAAGGACTGTCTGACTCTTGTTAGGGCCTAATGCAGCTGGTGATTTGAAGTTGAAGCCAGTGCTCACTTACCATTCTGAAGATACTATGGACCTTAAAAATTATGCTAAATCTACTCTGCCTGTGTTCTATAAATGCAACAACAAAGTCTGAATGGCACCACATCTGGTTACAGCATGGTTCACTGAATATTTTAAGCCCACTGTTGAGATCTACTGCTCAGAAAAAAAAAACTTTCAAAATATGACTGCCCATTGACAATGCACCTGGTCACTCCAGAGCTCCGATGGGGATGTACAAGGAGATCAATGTTTTCATGCCTGCTAACACAAGATCCATTCTGCAGCCCATAGATCAAGAAGTACTTTTGACTTTTAAATCTTATTATTTGAGAAATATATTTTATAAGGCCATAGCTGCCATGTAAGTGATTTTTATGATGAATTTGGACAAAGTAAATTGAAAACCTTCTGGAAAGCATTCACCTTTCTAGATGCCAGTAAGAACATTCACTGTTCATGGGAGGAAGTCAAAATGTCAACATTAGTAGGAATTTGGAGGAAGTCCATTCCAACCCCCATAGATGACTTTCACAGGCTTAACACTTTAGTAGAGGAAGTAACTACAAATGTGATAGAAACGGTAAGAGAACTGTAATTAGACATAACTGTAATTAGACATGGAGCCTGACAACGTAGCTGAATTGCTGCAATCTTGTGATGAAATTTGAATGAATAAGGAGTCACTTCTTATGGAAGAGCAAAGGAAATGGTTTCTTGAGATGGAATCTACTCTTGGTGAAGATGTTATAAACATTGTTAACATAACAACAAAGGATTTAGAATATAACATAAACTTAGTTGGTAAAGCAGCAGCAGGGCTTGAGAGGACTGACTCCAATTTTGAAAGTTCTACTCTGGGTAAAATACTGTCTAAAAGCATCACATGCCACAGAGAAATCTTTTGTGAAAGAAAAATTTGATGAATGTGGCAAATTTAATTGTCTTATTTTTAAAAACTGCCACAGACACTCCAAGCTTCAGCAGTTACCACCCTGATCAGTCAGTAGCCATCAACATGGAAGCAAGACCCTCCACCAGCAAAAAGATTACAACTTGCTAAAGGCTGAGATGATTGTTAGCAGTTTTTAGCAATAAAATATTTTTAATTCGGGTATGTACATTGGCTTTTATAAACATGATGCCATTGCACACTTAATAGACTTCAATATAGTGTAGGCATAACCTTTATATGTACTGGGAAACCAAAAAGTCATGTGATTCACTTTATTGCAATATTTGTTTTAATGCTGTGGTCTGGAACTGAACCTGCAGTATCTCTGAGGTATGCCTATAATTGGGAATAGTAATGTATAGATATGAAGGAGCTAATTGAAATGCAAGCCCATCTATGATTATATGCCAAAAATGACTGTTCTTGAGTAGTTCTGGGGGGCAAAAATCATACTTTTCCATAGGAACAAATATCTTCAAATTTGCAATGTCCAATGTGATAACCCACTAGCCCCATGTGACTAATTTAAATTTAAATGTGTTAAAATTAAATAAAATTTAAAAATTCAATTCCTCAATCATATTAGCCACATTTCAAGTGCTCAGTAGCCATATGTGGCTTGTGGGTATATATTGGACAGCATAGACATAGAACACTGCCAACATTTCAAAACATTCTATGAAACTGTGCTGAGTCATACCTACACTTTTTGAATCTTTTGGTATCTATGCTACTTAAACCACAATGGTTTACCTTAATAATGGTAACTTAAATACCTTTATTCTGATGGAACACTATGTATAGTCTATATATAGTAGAAATATCATTGATCTGTCACAACATTCCGTTATTACTTGGTCCTTATTACCAATGTTTGAGAATTGGAATATAGTAATAGTTGAATGAATAGGGAGTTCAAGGTATGGTGGTCTTGTGACCACGAGAAAGAAAGAAAGTGAATAATTCTTCAACAAAAAGTATTTATCACTTGCCTACTCCTGATAATATTGGGCCTTGTGCTAGACATAGGAGAGGTGATGATACTAGCATGAAAAGCATGCAGTTCCAGCCTACCAGAAG
This sequence comes from Homo sapiens, assembly GCF_000001405.40. Lineage (NCBI taxonomy): Eukaryota > Metazoa > Chordata > Mammalia > Primates > Hominidae > Homo > Homo sapiens. The sequence continues at coordinate 93,605,762 of NC_000004.12, forward strand.
TTTACAGTTACATGGCATAGAACAAAGTCAAAAGAGGTAAGTATAATGCAATGTGCTAAAATGCTGCTTTAGGAGTAAATACAAGGTGCGATAGGATCATATAAGGGGACACTAACCAAAGCCTGGGGTCCTGGAGAATTTTTAGGAATAAGTGACATCTAAGCTGATCCCAGTTATGAAAAGATTAGTAGAAGTTAGAGAGGATGGTAGAAAGTAGAACTGAGGCTGGCCATGGTGGCTCACGCCTGTAACCCCAGCTCTTTGGGAGGCAGAGGTAGCTAGATCACTTTGGGTCAGGAGTTTGAGACCAGCCTGGCCAACATGGTGATACCCCATCTCTACTAAAAATACAAAAATTAGCTGGGCGTGGTGGCATGTGCCTATAGTCCCAGCTACTTGGGAGGCTGAGGCTGGAGAATCACTTTTACCCGGAAAACAGAGACTGCAGTGAGCTGAGATCACGCCTCTGCACTCCAACCTGGGCGACAAAGAGAGAGTCTGACTCAAAAAAAAATACAAATAAAAAAATGTAGAACTGAGAGGGGAAGGTGAACAGGAAAACACTCCAAGCAAAAGAAAATGAATATCTAAGAACCAAGGGCAAGAAATAATACAGCCATTTAGGGAATTTTAAGTATGAGAAATGAGAACAAATGCTGTTCATGAAGGTGAGCCCAACTAGAGATAAAATTGATTTCTGTTATAAAAGTAGAAATGTCTCACTTATTTTAGGATTTAGGTTGTTTTACAATATAATTTCAAAAGCAAACTTTCTCCCTAGTATTTTTTCAGAATCCATATGCACATACCTATTAACAGTGGTTGGGAAAGGGAAATATAGATGGACAGATGGCAAGATCTAGCAATTTTATCATAAATTTTATGTGTATTGGGTTTCTTCCAATCTTCTTCCATTATAATTTTATGTAAACATATTATTCAGTTTAAAGTTAAGGTGTGTCAATGGCCCTCCTGGCCTGACTAGGAATAAATCAGTTATTAGAGCAAAGCAACTATGAGCATGTAATTATGAATACCCTAGGACTTATACACTCATAAATCATAGGACTCAAAAGCTAACTATTATTTTACTGTATATGTTAATGATGGTATTTAAAAATTCTAAACATAAAACAAAAATATTTGGGCTTTTATTCAGTATTCTTTACTGTATACCTAAAAATTATGAATTTGACTATGTATAAATTAGGCCTTAATAAACTTGACTTTCAAAAAATCTTATTAAAAAACAAAAACCTTCAATTAGGTATTTACACACATGTAATTTTCATAAATGCATAAATGTAACTACACTTGTCTTTTAGAGCATTATTTTTACTGTTCTGCTTGGCTTTTCCCCATTCTTCTCTTTTTTCACACCTCCAGCCATATTTTTCTACCTTCAAATGATAACAAATGGAATACATAGTATTATTCCATATTTTTCTCTAAGCATTTTTAATAACGTACTAACATGTTTACACATATACTCATGTATTTATATAAGTCCTGGTCATTGTTGGTTTAAAAAATAGGATTACATTATAAATACTTTCTGTGTCTTGCTTTTTAATATTCTGCAAACACATCGTAGAAATCCTTCCATAGCACCTTGTATAGCTCTAGTAGATTCATTTTAATGGTTCCATAATGTTTCCTGGCAGGAACACATCATCATTCTATGACTGATGAACATTACCACTATTTCCAATTTGATGTCACAATAAACAATGATGCACTGAGTATTCTTGTATTTTAATCCGAAATTTTTATTTCTCTTGGATAGATTCCTGGGAATGGAATTGCTGGACCAAAAGACATCTATGTATTTTTTAATTTGAATAGATGTTGCTTTTGAAAAAGGCTATAACATTTTCCTGTTTCCACTAGCAATATGTGAGAGTACACTTCTCCATACATCTCCACCAGCAATAGATATTAAGTATTGCCAGACATTTAATAGATATAAAGCAGTATGCCCCTCATTTTATTTTGTACTCACCACTAATGAGTTTGGGTATTTTTCATATGCTGTTGGACATATATATTTGTACTATTTTGCATTGCCTCTTCAGATGCCATCTATTTTTATTTTGCACACGCTATTCTTTTCTAGTTAAATCATTAGAGAAGCATCTGTATAATTTTAAACATTAACTGTTTGTCCCCCATGTTCCAATTTTTTCCAAATTTGTCAGTCTTTTCTTGGCTTTGTGAATGGTGTTTTTTCTCATACAAAGCTACTTTTAAATGCTTCATATAAACCAAATGTCTAACTTTACATATATATATATATACGTATATAAGTATATATATGCATATATATACACATATATGTATATATACACACACACATATATGTGTATATATATACGTCTATGTGTATACATATATACACATATGTATTCTGGATTTAATAAGTTGGTTAAAAATTCCTTCCTTATATGTATTACATATGCTCCCCTGGTTTTTCTTATAGGGATTTTATTATTTTATTTTAAACTATTTAGTCCAACTGAAAATTATTTTTTTTTCTTTTTTTTTTTTTAATTTTTTTTTTTTATTATACTTTAAGTTTTAGGGTACATGTGCACATTGTGCAGGTTAGTTACATAGGTATACATGTGCCATGCTGGTGCGCTGCACCCACTAACGTGTCATCTAGCATTAGGTATATCTCCCAATGCTATCCCTCCTCCCTCCCCCAACCCCACCACAGTCCCCAGAGTGTGATATTCCCCTTCCTGTGTCCATGTGATCTCATTGTTAAATTCCCACCTATGAGTGAGAATACGCAGTGTTTGGTTTTTTGTTCTTGCAATAGTTTACTGAGAATGATGGTTTCCAATTTCATCCATGTCCCTACAAAGGACATGAACTCATCATTTTTTATGGCTGCATAGTATTCCATGGTGTATATGTGCCCCATTTTCTTAATCTAGTCTATCATTGTTGGACATTTGGGTTGGTTCCAAGTCTTTGCTATTGTGAACAGTGCCGCAATAAACATACGGGTGCATGTGTCTTTATAGCAGCATGATTTATAGTCATTTGGGTATATACCCAGTAATGGGATGGCTGGGTCAAATGGTATTTCTAGTTCTAGATCCCTGAGGAATCGCCACACTGACTTCCACAATGGTTGAACTAGTTGACAGTCCCACCAACAGTGTCAAAGTGTTCCTATTTCTCCACATCCTCTCCAGCACCTGTTGTTTCCTGACTTTTTAATGATTGCCATTCTAACTGGTGTGAGATGATATCTCATAGTGGTTTTGATTTGCATTTCTCTGATGGCCAGTGATGATGAGCATTTTTTCATGTGTTTTTTGGCTGCATAAATGTCTTCTTTTGAGAAGTGTCTGTTCATGTCCTTCGCCCACTTTTTGATGGGATTGTTTGTTTTTTTCTTGTAAATTTGTTTGAGTTCATTGTAGATTCTGGATATTAGCCCTTTGTCAGATGAGTAGGTTGCAAAAATTTTCTCCCATGTTGTAGGTTGCCTGTTCACTCTGATGGTAGTTTCTTTTGTTGTGCAGAAGCTCTTTAGTTTAATTAGATCCCATTTGTCAATTTTGGCTTTTGTTGCCATTGCTTTTGGTGTTTTGGGCATGAAGTCCTTGCCCACGCCTATGTCCTGAATGGTAATGCCTAGGTTTTCTTCTAGGGTTTTTATGGTTTTAGGTCTAACGTTTAAATCTTTAATCCATCTTGAATTGATTTTTGTATAAGGTGTAAGGAAGGGATCCAGTTTCAGCTTTCTACATATGGCTAGCCAGTTTTCCCAGCACCATTTATTAAATAGGGAATCCTTTCCCCATTGCTTGTTTTTCTCAGGTTTGTCAAAGATCAGATAGTTGTAGATATGCGGCATTATTTCTGAGGGCTCTGTTCTGTTCCATTGATCTATATCTCTGTTTTGGTACCAGTACCATGCTGTTTTGGTTACTGTAGCCTTGTAGTATAGTTTGAAGCCAGGTAGTGTGATGCCTCCAGCTTTGTTCTTTTGGCTTAGGATTGACTTGGCAATGCGGGCTCTTTTTTGGTTCCATATGAACTTTAAAGTAGTTTTTTCCAATTCTGTGAAGAAAGTCATTGGTAGCTTGATGGGGATGGCATTGAATCTGTAAATTACCTTGGGCAGTATGGCCATTTTCACGATATTGATTCTTCCTACCCATGAGCATGGAATGTTCTTCCATTTGTTTGTGTCCTCTTTTATTTCCTTGAGCAGTGGTTTGTAGTTCTCCTTGAAGAGGTCCTTCACATCCCTTGTAAGTTGGATTCCTAGGTATTTTATTCTCTTTGAAGCAATTGTGAATGGGAGTTCACTCATGATTTGGCTCTCTGTTTGTCTGTTGTTGGTGTATAAGAATGCTTGTGATTTTTGTACATTGATTTTGTATCCTGAGACTTTGCTGAAGTTGCTTATCAGCTTAAGGAGATTTTGGGCTGAGACAATGGGGTTTTCTAGATAAACAATCATGTCGTCTGCAAACAGGGACAATTTGACTTCCTCTTTTCCTAATTGAATACCCTTTATTTCCTTCTCCTGCCTGATTGCCCTGGCCAGAACTTCCAACACTATGTTGAATAGGAGCGGTGAGAGAGGGCATCCCTGTCTTGTGCCAGTTTTCAAAGGGAATGCTTCCAGTTTTTGCCCATTCAGTATGATATTGGCTGTGGGTTTGTCATAGATAGCTCTTATTATTTTGAAATACGTCCCATCAATACCTAATTTATTGAGAGTTTTTAGCATGAAGGGTTGTTGAATTTTGTCAAAGGCTTTTTCTGCATCTGTTGAGATAATCATGTGGTTTTTGTCTTTGGCTCTGTTTATATGCTGGATTACATTTATTGATTTGCGTATATTGAACCAGCCTTGCATCCCAGGGATGAAGCCCACTTGATCATGGTGGATAAGCTTTTTGATGTGCTGCTGGATTCGGTTTGCCAGTATTTTATTGAGGATTTTTGCATCAATGTTCATCAAGGATATTGGTCTAAAATTCTCTTTTTTGGTTGTGTCTCTGCCCGGCTTTGGTATCAGAATGATGCTGGCCTCATAAAATGAGTTAGGGAGGATTCCCTCTTTTTCTATTGATTGGAATAGTTTCAGAAGGAATGGTACCAGTTCCTCCTTGTACTTCCGGTAGAATTTGGCTGTGAATCCATCTGGTCCTGGACTCTTTTAGGTTGGTAAACTATTGATTATTGCCACAATTTCAGAGCCTGTTATTGGTCTATTCAGAGATTCAACTTCTTCCTGGTTTAGTCTTGGGAGAGTGTATGTGTCAAGGAATTTATCCATTTCTTCTAGATTTTCTAGTTTATTTGCGTAGAGGTGTTTGTAGTATTCTCTGATGGTAGTTTGTATTTCTGTGGGATCGGTGGTGATATCCCCTTTATCATTTTTTATTGTGTCTATTTGATTCTTCTCTCTTTTTTTCTTTATTAGTCTTGCTAGCGGTCTATCAATTTTGTTGATCCTTTCAAAAAACCAGCTCCTGGATTCATTGATTTTTTGAAGGTTTTTTTGTGTCTCTATTTCCTTCAGTTCTGCTCTGATTTTAGTTATTTCTTGCCTTCTGCTAGCTTTTGAATGTGTTTGCTCTTGCTTTTCTAGTTCTTTTAATTGTGATGTTAGGGTGTCAATTTTGGATCTTTCCTGCTTTCTCTTGTAGGCATTTAGTGCTATAAATTTCCCTCTACACACTGCTTTGAATGCGTCCCAGAGATTCTGGTATGTTGTGTCTTTGTTCTCATTGGTTTCAAAGAACATCTTTATTTCTGCCTTCATTTCATTATGTACCCAGTAGTCATTCAGGAGCAGGTTGTTCAGTTTCCATGTAGTTGAGCGGCTTTGAGTGAGATTCTTAATCCTGAGTTCTAGTTTGATTGCACTGTGGTCTGAGAGATAGTTTGTTATAATTTCTGTTCTTTTACATTTGCTGAGGAGAGCTTTACTTCCAAGTATGTGGTCAATTTTGGAATAGGTGTGGTGTGGTGCTGAAAAAAATGTATATTCTGTTGATTTGGGGTGGAGAGTTCTGTAGATGTCTATTAGGTCCCCCTGGTGCAGAGCTGAGTTCAATTCCTGGGTATCCTTGTTGACTTTCTGTCTCATGGATCTGTCTAATGTTGACAGTGGGGTGTTAAAGTCTCCCATTATTAATGTGTGGGAGTCTAAGTCTCTTTGTAGGTCACTCAGGACTTGCTTTATGAATCTGGGTGCTCCTGTATTGGGTGCATAAATATTTAGGATAGTTAGCTCCTCTTGTTGAATTGATCCCTTTACCATTATGTAATGGCCTTGTCTCTTCTGATCTTTGTTGGTTTAAAGTCTGTTTTATCAGAGACTAGGATTGCAACCCCTGCCTTTTTTTGTTTTCCATTGGTTTGGTAGATCTTCCTCCATCCTTTTATTTTGAGCCTATGTGTGTCTCTGCACGTGAGATGGGTTTCCTGAATACAGCACACTGATGGGTCTTGACTCTTTATCCAACTTGCCAGTCTGTGTCTTTTAATTGGAGAATTTAGTCCATTTACATTTAAAGTTAATAGTGTTATGTGTGAATTTGATCCTGTCATTATGATGTTAGCTGGTTATTTTGCTTGTTAGTTGATGCAGTTTCTTCCTAGTCTCGATGGGCTTTACATTTTGGCATGATTTTGCAGCGGCTGGTACCGGTTGTTCCTTTCCATGTTTAGCGCTTCCTTCAGGAGCTCTTTTAGGGCAGGCCTGGTGGTGACAAAATCTCTCAGCATTTGCTTGTCTATAAAGTATTTTATTTCTCCTTCACTTATGAAGCTTAGTTTGGCTGGATATGAAATTCTGGGTTGAAAATTCTTTTCTTTAAGAATGTTGAATATTGGCCCCCACTCTCTTCTGGCTTGTAGGGTTTCTGCCAAGAGATCCGCTGTTAGTCTGATGGGCTTCCCTTTGAGGGTAACCCGACCTTTCTCTCTGGCTGCCCTTAACATTTTTTCCTTCATTTCAACTTTGGTGAATCTGACAATTATGTGTCTTGGAGTTGCTCTTCTCGAGGAGTATCTTTGTGGCGTTCTCTGTATTTCCTGAATCTGAACGTTGGCCTGCCTTGCTAGATTGGGGAAGTTCTCCAGGATAATATCCTGCAGAGTGTTTTCCAACTTGGTTCCATTCTCCACATCACTTTCAGGTACACCAATCAGACGTAGATTTGGTCTTTTCACATACTCCCATATTTCTTGGAGGCTTTGCTCATTTCTTTTTATTCTTTTTTCTCTAAACTTCCCTTCTCGCTTCATTTCATTCATTTCATCTTCCATTGCTGATACCCTTTCTTCCAGTTGATTGCATCGGCTCCTGAGGCTTCTGCATTCTTCACGTAGTTCTCGAGCCTTGGTTTTCAGGTCCATCAGCTCCTTTAAACACTTCTCTGTATTGGTTATTCTAGTTATACATTCTTCTAAATTTTTTTCAAAGTTTTCAACTTCTTTGCCTTTGGTTTGAATGTCCTCCCGTAGCTCAGAGTAATTTGATCGTCTGAAGCCTTCTTCTCTCAGCTCGTCAAAATCATTCTCCATCCAGCTTTGTTCTGTTGCTGGTGAGGAGCTGCGTTCCTTTGGAGGAGGAGAGGCGCTCTGCGTTTTAGAGTTTCCAGTTTTTCTGTTCTGTTTTTTCCCCATCTTTGTGGTTTTATCTACTTTTGGTCTTTGATGATGGTGATGTACAGATGGGTTTTCGGTGTAGATGTCCTTTCTGGTTGTTAGTTTTCCTTCTAACAGACAGGACCCTCAGCTGCAGGTCTGTTGGAATACCCTGCCGTGTGAGGTGTCAGTGTGCCCCTGCTGGGGGGTGCCTCCCAGTTAGGCTGCTCGGGGGTCAGGGGTCAGGGACCCACTTGAGGAGGCAGTCTGCCCGTTCTCAGATCTCCAGCTGCTTGCTGGGAGAACCACTGCTCTCTTCAAAGCTGTCAGACAGGGACACTTAAGTCTGCAGAGGTTACTGCTGTCTTTTTGTTTGTGTGTGCCCTGCCCCAAGACGTGGAGCCTACAGAGGCAGGCAGGCCTCCTTGAGCTGTGGTGGGCTCCACCCAGTTCGAGCTTCCAGGCTGCTTTGTTTACCTAAGCAAGCCTGGGCAATGGCGGGCGCCCCTCCCCCAGCCTAGTTGCCGCCTTGCAGTTTGATCTCAGACTGCTGTGCTAGCAATCAGCGAGATTCCGTGGGCGTAGGACCCTCTGAGCCAGGTGTGGGATATAGTCTCGTGGTGCGCCGTTTTTTAAGCCGGTCTGAAAAGCGCAATATTCGGGTGGGAGTGACCCGATTTTCCAGGTGCGTCCGTCACCCCTTTCTTTGACTGGGAAAGGGAACTCCCTGACCCCTTGCGCTTCCCAGGTGAGGCAATGCCTCGCCCTGCTTCAGCTCGCGCACGGTGCGTGCACCCACTGGCCTGCGCCCACTGTCTGGCACTCCCTAGTGGGATGAACCTGGTACCTCAGATGGAAATGCAGAAATCACCCGTCTTCTGCGTCGCTCACGCTGGGAGCTGTAGACCGGAGCTGTTCCTATTCGGCCATCTTGGCTCCTCCCCCCTGAAAATTATTATTTAGAGTACAAAATGATTTGATTTTATTTTCTTCCTGTCAATTATGCCAACAACATTCATTAAAAAGTGACCAGCTTTTTAGATAGACAACCCAGAACACAAATGCATCAGATCAAAACCCATAAAATATAGTGTGTAATAATAATTATATATGTTTTATTACTTTAACATAAAAACATGAAATAGTCATTTATTTAAAATTATATATTATTCTGTATTATTTATTTTTATTACAAAATGCTATATAAACAACAGGACGAGTTAACAGGGTCAATAAGTAGTAACTGATAGTAGTACTAATTAAATAATAGATGTGACAAAAGTATAACAATATTTTAATAAGGTTTTTTTTCTGTCCTCTGATACAGCAGTTATTTTTAACTCTTTGCTGACACCGTGCTGGATATTTACATTTGTAGTGTGTATTTAAGACATATAAGTGTGAAACTTTTTAAAAGGGGAACATAAATACTACAGGACTAATTTAACAGATATTAACTGTATTAAATAACAACAGCAATAACATGTTCTTTTCTGTCCCCAAATATAGTAGGACAATTTTACTCTTTCTTCTCCGATAATACTTCAATGAATTGCCTGTAATTTTTGGGGCTTCCTTTTCTTTTATTCAGTTGTAGAACTGAATATAGTCAAACATAAAATGCACTTTGGTGTGCAATGCTGCTCTTATCAAGCCTGCATTACGTTGATTCTGGTGTCATTCCAATGTGATGACACCAAGCTAAATATACTCTTAACAAGCATTTGACTATAAAATGAGAGTTCAATTATTAGCAATAATGTTTTTCAACTCATAGAAATTAGTTCCAGCTCTCCAAAAAGATGTCCATACTCTTTGATTCTACAAGCTTTCTTTTAAAGGCCAGGCTTTTGTCAATCGTCTTTGCATCTATAAATTCATCATATAAGCTAAATATATCTAAGGTGTCCACCATTTTTAAACACTCTGAAGCACTTTGGATGTTATTATAAGTGAAATCTCTCTTAGGAAAATGATTTTAAAGCACAAGAGTAATTTGAATTTTGTGAAATTGGTGCTAGATTCTAAAGTTACAGTTTTAGTAAAGAAATAGAGAAAGTCTTTATAGTAGCATGATTTATAATCCTTTGGGTATATACCCAGCAATGGGATCACTGGGTCAAATGGTATTTCTAGCTCTAGATCCTGGAGAAATCAACACACTGTCTTCCACAATGGTTGAACTAATTTATACTCCAATAAATATGTACAATTATTATGTGCTAATAATAAAAGGCCTTCACCCCAAAAAAAAAAAAAAAGGAAATTGAGGAAGTTCTGTGTAACTTGGCTACCTTGTTGTGGTGACTTACTGTTTTATTTTTTATTTTTATTGTTTCGTAGTAAAAAAGTTTTGAAGTAGTTGTATTTTTTTAATGTGTCATTGTTTCACTCTGAGTTTTTGTTACAATCTACACATACCATCAAACAACACAGGTGCAGTCAGTTCATCCTTTTTTATACTCCTATGGTTTTTTTCAAAAATCATCAAGCAAGTTTGGAAATATAGTATATAAATTTTTATTTTACTGTATTCTTTTCTGCATTGTCACTCAATGTATTTCCAAATTAGAGAAGGACATTTCTTCTTGTCTCACACTTTGAAAATGGTTTTATGATAGTCCAACATTTTAGCCATTCATAGTCATCTTGTAGTCATATGTCTAAAGGAGCTAGTTATCTCCTTCCATCTCTATTAAGTAAAAATCCTCAAGTTTTTCTGCACATTTTGAGGTAACTGAAAAGTGATCAAAAATTTTAATTATGAAAGCTTTAATATCACAGGTAAGCAATGTTGTACACAAGCTGTGCAGTTCATTTTGCAGGTAAGATCTTTTAATTTTCTTAGATAAGAAGTTTATAGACTAAGGCCGGGCACAGTGGCTCTCGCCTATAATTTCAGCACATTGGGAAGCCAAGGCACGCAGATCACTTGAAGCCAGGAGCTCGAGACCCGCCTGTCCAACATTGCAAAACCCTGTCTCTACCAAAAATAATACAAAAATTAGACCAGTGTGATGGTGCACACCTGTAGTCCCAGCTACTCAGGAGGTTGAGGCAGGAAAATGGTTTGAACCCTGGAGGTGGAGGCTGCAGTGGTCTCAGACGAGCTACTGCATTACAGCCTGGGCAACAGAATGAGACTCTGTTGCCCAGGCTGTAATAAATATAAATATTTATTTTTATAAATATTTATAAAATAAATATTTTATTATATTTATAAAATAAATATAAAAAAAAGTTTATAGACTAAACAAAACTTGCTTAAATTTACACTTGCAATGTCTATAGAATATGCAGGTAGAGGGCAAGTATCTGGACAAAATATCAGTAAACTTTTGCTTTATGTTTTCTGCAGTTTTATTAAAATATTCATAAAAATCAGTGAGGCGATCGAGACCATCCTGGCTAACATAGTGAAACCCCATCTCTACTAAACAAAATACAAAAAATTAGCCAGGCGTGGTGGTGGGCGCCTGTAGTCCCAGCTACTCGGGAGGCTGAGGCGAGAATGGCGTGAACCCGGGAGGTGGAGCTTGCGTGAGCTAAGATCATGCCACTACACTCCAGCCTGGGCGACAGAATGAGATTCCATCTCAAAAAAAAAAAAAATTCATAAAAATCAAGAAGATGATTTGAAGCTCCATTTTTAAAATAAAAGTACCTAAAAGCTAGATGAATCAGTTTTTGTTGCCATTATTTGACACAAAACTTTACTGCAGAAAACATTCAAGTAAGATCTGAAAGAATCAGCTCTATAGAGTAAGAGGCCAACACGTCTGTTAGCAAAATTTTGTCCTTTTGTTTTCCCACGGCACATTTTATTTGAAACCTAGTAATGAGGAAAAGTAGCTTCATTCCATTTTATAGAGCTATCAGGGGAATGGTACAATAATGTATGTTTCTTGATGTGGTATGCCCAAACTAACTCATAGCCACTGTTTTTAACTGTGCATTGGTGTCTTTTGGGAGACACAGAATCTTTTGATTGATTTAGAAGTATTCCCTGTCTTATTCCAAACTATGAGATTCAGTCTGCATATGTGTTTTTACATCGTTTTCCTCCATCATACCCAATTGCAAATTTCTTTTCTGCAGATTGTGCAGTAGTTTGTCTTGGTTATTTGCCTCCCTGATCCAGTTATTTCTGTCCTTCCATCTGTAATAAGATAACATTGTCATTTAGCCTTATTTTTCAGCGATATTCGGGTCATGCTGGCATTGGTATTATAATCATTCTCATTTTTATTATCTGAACTCTCAGAAAAAAACCAGTATCGAAAGTTAAATTAACATTATCTTGGTATCGAGATGATACCAAGAAAACCGTTAATCCACAGACAAAGGACTGTTAATACTCATGAATACAATGTGCTTAAGTAACACACTTAAGCCTCAGCACTCACAGCAGTGCAACAAGGGGTGATTCATTATTGTGAACAGCAAATCACAGTTGCCAACATCAGCAGTCAGGAGGAAAAACAGTGACAGCAACTGTGGGAAACATAATCTATGCCATATCCATCTGCTACAAAAACAGTGTTGCTTTCAGCTATTTTTTGAGCCGTGGTATGGGTTTGATACTACCCCCCCTAACCTTCTGTACCCATTGCCAAAAACCTGGATTTGTTGCCTCCCTGAAAGTTTACTCATGACATGGGGCTTTTGTGCTATGACTGGGCATTGGAGGCAAACCTGGGCAATTGTCACCCTAGCTCTTCCTATTAAGCTTACATTTATGAGCATTTCCGTCAATTCATCTATTCAATACTTTGGTTGAGAAACTGGGGCTGGATTATTTGTTGTAGCCTCAAAGATTTTTTTGGTCTCACTTGAATCCAGTTAAGTGCTCTTCTTACTTTTCTGTTAGAATTGTAATCTTCCACACTGCTGTTTCCCTGGAGTGTATTCTACTTGTTCTAATTTATTTTTCCCTTTCCGACTGTGGAACTCACTACATGGATTATTCTTTTTCTTCGTCAGCTCATGAGGATTCAGGTCTAGTTGTTGAAGTAGCCTAGGGACTGGCAGTCTTGCTAATTGTAGAAGGTAAAATATCCTCTCTTCCTGTGGGCCAGAACAAACAAGGTGACTCCATTCCCCTCCTGAGACACACAGAAGCAGCTAAGGGCTCTCCAGTCTTCTGGTCTGACCCAAGGCACAGGACTCCAGGATAGGGAGGTCTCTGTCCATCCATTCAACTCTTTCTGGCCAGTTTAAAGGCAACAGAACATGTATATTAATGGTAACAAATATCTAAGGAAGGAAGTCCGGAGGACTTGGGAGCCACAGATCTCTGTGAACCAAGCTTTCCTCAAACTTAGTTTCTTCCTTGCCTTCCCTGCAGGTTGCACTTGTTTTCGCAGACACACCCAGCCTGAAGGAGAGAATCACCAGTTCTTTTCCCACATGCTCTACCTAGAGCCCCAACCTTTCTAACCTTCTGTCTTCCAGAGCCCAGCAGCCATTTGTTTCAAGAAAAAGTTGGCAGCGGAGGGTAAAGAAGCTACATTCAGTTTTCTATTTTCCTAGAATGCTTTTAAAAACTTTAAAAAATATATTTAGTATTCCTGATAATCTCCAAAAGAACAGGCAAGAAATAAGATTTAGAGGTGGGCATAACACTTCTTTTCTAGGTTAAAAAATTGATTTTTTTAAAAAAGTTGATGTTTATTTTAAATACATTCATATATTCTTTTTGAAAGTTTGTGCCCTATGATAACTATGTCAGAGCACAAATTAAAATTTTGACAAAATAACAGATAAATTATCATAGGCCAACAATTAAGGTAGCAGTAAACAAAACCATATATATTTTAAAGTCAGTCTTAAGTACTTAAACTTGAGTTTGATCATGATTTATTGTGCTGTATAAATTCAGAAGAATTGATGAATGCTGCTAAATTATTAATTTGCCCAAAGTGTGAGAGGCTACCGCCCAGAACCATGTGTTATAAATATTAAAGCCATCCCATCTTTAGGACTTATGTGGGCAATGAATTATAAGGACCACTGTAAATCAATTCTGGGTTAATCATAACTCTTTGCGCCTGTGATTCACAATCACATTATCCCCCACTGACCATTAGTTAAAATTGGAAAGAAGTTTGCAGCTTAGTGGGCAAGGCTAGAATTTATTTCCCTCACATTATTCTCAGGCCTTTTCATTTTTATTTGATGAGGAAAAATAGATTTTCATTATTCAAGCTTTATTTTAATTTTCAAAAGCTCTGCTTTGTTTCATTCCTAAGAATCAGAAATGCTTAGAGAGCAATGGCTACAAAATCAACAGGCCTCGAGGGTCCAGAGTCATATAAACCAAATATTCATTTTTTCCAATGATCTTGAGAAGTAAGCAACCTTTTTCTTAAAAGCCCAATTTTTTTTTACCTTAATACCGTGATCATATAGAACTGAGGAAGCTGCATGCTTTCTGTGGCCCTTGCCGTAAACTACATAGCATTATATTTCTTTACGTAACTGTTGTTTCTCAAACTCCATAGGCTATACCTTACAGGCAAAGGCTATTCTATGTCACATGCTTTTGCATTCCTATGGAGAATCTCCCAGAAATTTATATTTAATGTAGTGCAAAGAGCATAGGAAGATAGCCTTGATCTCACATTCCAAATCTACCGCAAATCATTGGTATGACTTAGAGCAAGTTACAATTACCTCACCTGTGAATTAGATATCCTATCAGCTGTCTCACAGTGTTGTAAAGAACAAATAAATGTGTATGTAAATGGCATTTTTAGCAGTTGAAACATGTTTGGTAAATGTTATCTATTATCATAAGAAATAAATGGAGGACAGAGGGAGGATTTTCTTTAGCAAAGGAAATTCCTATCTAACCCTTTTGGTTTAATGTCACTTTTCCATAATTGTTCCCACTGAATGTTTTTTAATAAGAAAGGATCATCACTTCTGTGTCTCTGAAGCCATAGATTTTGGAGTGAGCTTTTAAGAAATTTACTAAATTAAAGATTCATGTGAGAAAGAGTATTGTCCTCCCGATTCAAATCAAAATTGGTGAGATAACAGGTAGCGATAAGTCTGTTTGTGGCATGGACTTCTGTAGTTAGTACAGGAGGCTGCTACCTAATGAATTAAAAAGCAAAGTGCTTTCAGCATCAGCTCATGATGGAGATGTCAGAACAGGAGCATACAGGACACAAGTAATCTATATACAAATAGAAATGTGTCATAATCCCTAACATGTTGAGGAACATAGGTGCAGGTTTTGAAAATGCACTTTCCCATTCTTCACTTTACTTGGCAAGAAATGCAAATATTCAAGAAAATAACATTGAATATTTACAGTTCTTCACCTGACAAATGGAAAATTTCAAAAAATTTTAGGCTAGAGGAATGTGCATAAACGAGAAATGGTCTCCAAAGCATATCTATGTTTTCAATTGGTTAGGTACTATTGATAAGGAATTTAAATATTTGGGGTTTTCTTATACAGCTATTTCAGTTACCAGAATATTTGAGACTTGTCCTGATTCCTTCCAACAAAAATTAATTTCCCTTTTCTTTTACGACTTTAAACAAAATCTGTTCATATGATCCTTACCATAATGTGATTCGTGTTACAACAATTTTGTACTTGACTTATCTCCACTACTGAGTTGTAAGCAGCTTGATGATGGGGGCCCAAGTCTTACCTTTATATTCCTTATAGACTTAACCTTCAGGATTTTAGAGTTAATGTGTAATGATTGTTAGTAAAATTGAATTTAAACAACAACTGTTAAAGAAAAATATAGAAATGGGAACAAAACCTAGCTCCTAGTGTTATCTGGGAAGTGAGAAATTTATCACGGGGAGTCTATTGATATCTCAGGCACTATTACGAGGACACAGGTGCTGAGCCTCAATAGTTACCAATGTCAATCAATAACCATAGCATCCTAGCATCTCTACTTTGGGGTCTGGAGATTGAAAACACTAGAGGTAGATATCACTTTGGATTATTTTTCTTCCTCATAATGAGACCTGGAATATGCTGACATGAAGCTCCCAGATTCACTTTTGCTTTCTTCTGTTTAACCTAGTATGAAGGACTCTGCTGGTGTGGAATCCATTAGTAAATAAATCAATGGCATGTGATTCAGTTGCCTGTCTAAACATGGCCTCAAGAACAGGGCTAGTTGAAAAATTTTAAGAAAACTCCATTACCTAGTCAGATGGATTGAAAATTTTTAGGCCAGTCCTTCAATTATTATTCTGTTGAAAGGTGACTTCAGACTTTGTTGATGAGTATTTTATAGAGTTTTCATTTGATGGTTAAAGACCATTCAAAAGGCAGTGATTATATGTTTTAATTGATGAAAAAGGCCAGGGCCATTTTTAAAAGCTAAAATAGTTTGGGTTACTATGCAACCTTTCATTGCCATTGCTACAGGCTATAATCACACTGTTTTAATGATTCTCTTTTTAAAAATCCATTCATAATTCTTTGGAACATTAGTATTGCAAGAGACAGCATATATAATGGCAAGGATAATGTTACTATACATTTAAGTAGAGCTCTACAGTTCACAAAGCATTGACAACAATGCTAGAAAACTTTTCTAACAGCAAAGCAATATGTCGCCTACTGGGGAGGTCCCTTGAGGTTTGTAAAGAAGCTGCCAGGGGATCCAGGAGGCCAGACTAACAGTTTAAAACAGAAGATAATCACAAAAATCAAAGTAGGTTGTTAGAGGAAGCTTCAAGGTCACTGCTACTCCCAATCACTGTAAATTTAGACCTAGGGAGCTATAAGCAGGTCTGCAAGTTGGTTGCAAAGATCAGAGAAAAGAAGGAAACTATGGGATAACTCTGTGGGTGAGAAATCAATGCAGACGAAACCTAACCAAGTGTTTTTCCTTCTCTCACACTAACACTCCAAGCATCTCCTAGTTTTATAATTATATCAAGCCCCACGTATATAAAATTGTTTCCGATGATATTACTCATTTTTTTATCATCAGCATCATTAGTAATAAAAAAGTGGTGTGCATAAGCTGTCAGGATTGTTAAAATGCATACTCCCAGGCCTTAAACATCAAACATCATCATGCAGTAACTTTGGGATTAGATCTAGAATCTACATTTCTAACACAAAAATCCCCTAGTAATTCTAATGGTGGTAGTCTTCGCATCACATTGTGAGAAACACTGACCGATAGCACCTAAACTAGGGTCTAGGGTACCACAGACACTCCATGAGTAATACTTGAATTAAATGCTTTCTTTAGGGAAAAAACTTTTGTCTGTTTCAATACCTCATGGTTTGGTTGGGGTTCACCTCAACAAAAGACAGTAAGTATCCACTGAGCACAGTTAACTGGACTGAAGGTTTTAGGCCATTCATTGTTTCATACAAAACTTTTTATTGGGTATCCAATATTGGTGGGATCTAAGCAAATTTATTAAAAGGCAACAATTAAATATTTCTTCTATATTTGCTTCCTTTACCTTTATGTTTTGATATTCCATTCTTTTTTCAGTACCAAAAAAAGTCTCGCATGTTCTTCTAGTTTTTCTTTTCTTAAAACTTGGTCTTTAAAAAATTATATTTAATTTATTCCACTACGGAAATTTATTTT
The DNA here is from genome assembly GCF_000001405.40 of Homo sapiens. Taxonomy (NCBI): domain Eukaryota; kingdom Metazoa; phylum Chordata; class Mammalia; order Primates; family Hominidae; genus Homo; species Homo sapiens. The sequence continues at coordinate 93,622,993 of NC_000004.12, forward strand.
GTGTGATGTGACATAGTGCTCTAATATTGACATTTTTGCAATAATCACCTGTCTCACGTTTTTTGAATATTTCATATTTGCCACACTGATTTGATTTATCGACTTTCTAATACAGTCTTTTTTTTAAAGAGAGGTAAAAGTTTTATGATGGCAGATGATTCTTTTTTTTATTATTATTATACTTTAAGTTCTGGGATACATGTGCAGAACCTGTGCAGGTTTGTTACACAGGTATACACATGCCATGGTGGTTTGCTGCACCAATCAACCTGTCACCTACATTAGGTATTTCTCCTAATGCTATCTCTCCCCTAGCCCCCTGACCCCCCAACAGGCCCTGGTGTGTGATGTTCCCCTTTCTGTGTCCATGTGTTCTCATTGTTCATGTGGTGTTTGGTTTTCTGTTCCTGTGTTAGTTTGCTGAGAATGATGGTTTCCAGCTTCATCCATGTCCCTGCAAAGGACACGAACTGCCAGCAATTCCATTACTGGGTATATACCCAAGGGATTATAAACCATTCTACTGTAAAGACACATGCACCTGTATGTTTATTGCAGCACTATTCACAATAGCAAAGACTTGGAACCAACCCAAATGTCCAACAATGATAGACTGGATAAAGAAAATGTGGCACATATACACTATGGAATACTATGCAGTCTAATACAGTCTTTATATAACATTTATATACTTTTAAAAACAGTAAACTTTTGTTCTGTTCCACTGATTTTCTATTCTTAAATACATTTTGTACTGTTTTATTTTTAAGCTTTATAACATGTCTCATTACTTGGTATTCTAAGTCTCTGATAATTATTAATTTTTTAATTTTCAAAATTTCATTACTATTCTTGTCTGTTTTCTCCTAATTAAATTTGCAAAGGTCTTAAGAGGTTCTAAAATAACCTTCAGGCATTTTATTTAGAATTACATTTTGTATTGGAGAATCTGAGGAAAATTTAAATGTCTTTTGTAATTATGCATCTGCATTCTTAGGAATATGTTATGTCTATACAGAAACTTGTTCAAGTTGTCTTCAGTCAGGTGTTAAGGTATTCTTCATATAGCTCCTACTAATTTATTGTTAAATTTCTCTCTATGTATTTATATTTAATGTACATAGATATTTTTACTCAAACTATCATCTCATTAATATATTAATAGAAAAGCAAATCATTTGTATATATCCATTTATGATCAATCTATTTTTTTAATCTGAATTTTTAAAATACTTTTTCACTTGATTCTGGTGGGCTTCTTGAATATATCATCAAATAATGATAATTTTGTCTCTACTGGATGATAATTTTTTCCTAATAGATTGCAATCATAGTTTTGTTTCCATCCTTTTTTGCATAGGATAAAGTTGTTACAATAATGTTAATTTTGGATTACTAGCAAGCATAATTTTCTTTACTTTAATGGCAATGCAAAGAGAGTTTAAGCTTGTAATAGGCTTGCTGTTGTTTGAAGTATTCTGTATCTCATTACGGATTTTTTTTCTTCCTGGTTTACCAATAGATAGATAACAGGTAGACAACTGTTTATAATTTTGCCAAGTATCTTTCTTGTGTCTATTGAAAGATCATTTAAAAATTTTATAAAGCCTCATTTGTAAGATATGTTGTCACCCCAGTAACATTTCTAATACTGAACCAATGTTGCTTTTCCTTGTTTAATAATGTTACATTATTCTTTTAATATAAGCAAACTAACCTTGGAGTTTAACTATTACTTCTATTTATTTTATGAATTTCTTAAGTCCATTTTTATATGTGAAAAAGTTGAAAATATACCTTATTGAGATGTTTAGGATAGTAGGTTGGGCTTTTATTGGGTAAATTTGTGACTTAGTGTATGAGTGATTACTGAGGGGAAAAAAAATAATCACTAAAGACATTGTAAGTGAACCAGAGTAAAGTTGTGTTCCTTAAGTGATGATAGAGGAGGTTGTGGAATCGTTTTATTTTCCTCATTGCAATGCCCACCAGGGAGTTTTCTTCTAAGTTCAGCTGCAAGATATCCATAGGCCACATGTGACAATAGATTAATTTAGAAGGACACAGGACAGGAGATATAGCTCATCAGCAGGGCAGCATTGTCATTTTTTCTTCAATGTGAGTTGTACTTGCAGCTTTCATTTAGAATAGGGATCACATGCAAGATGATACCTATACTGAGTGAGTACAGAAGCCCACCTGGCTTAGAAGCCTAGTAACCCAAGGCGTCAGTAGCTCTTGTCATAACCCCAAAGGCATAGCTTTCAGGGTCCCCAGAAGGGGCAGTCCCAGTCACATGAATCACTGAACTGGTAGAAGCACAAAGACATGGCTTCCTTTCATGCATTTTTTGTTCTCTCAATCCAAATGACATTTTCCACTCAGGGGTCATTTTACTATAAGCAACGTGGCCTAAAAGTATAGTAAACATTCGACCTTTCCCATGTTTTCAGAACAGAGATATAAATTAACCAAAGTACAAATTCTCATTCAGAATAAAAGCTTACTTAGAAATACAGTCTGCCCTCCATATCTGCAGGTTCTGCATGTGCAGATTCAACCAGCCATGAACTGAAAATATTTTTAAAACACAATAGAGAGTAATAATATAATAAAAATACAAATGAAAAACAATACAGTGGGCCGGGCGCGGTGGCTCACGCCTGTAATCTCAGCACTTTGGGAGGCCGAGGCGGGCGGATTACGAGGTCAGGAGATTGAGACCATCCTGGCTAACACGGTGAAACCCCAGCTCTACTAAAAATACAAAAAATTAGCGGGGCGCGGTGGTGGGCGCCTGTAGTCCCAGCTACTCGGGAGGTTGAGGCAGGAGAATGGCGTGAACCCGGGAGGTGGAGCTTGCAGTGAGCGGAGATCGCGCCACTGCACTCCAGCCTGGGCGACAGAGCAAGACTCCGTCTCAGAAAAAACAAAACAAAACAAAACAAAAATAAAGCGCAACAACTGTTTACATAGCATATGTACATTGTATTAGGTATCATAAGTAATCTAGACATGATTTAAGTATACTGGAGGATGTGTAGAGATTATATGCAAATACTATGACATTTTATATAAGGACTTGAGCATCCCTGGATTTTGGTATCCACAGGGGTTCTGAAATCAATCCCCAACAGATACTGAAGGATGATTATATGTTCTATTATTTTTAGCATAATTAAATATATACCAATGTAATGTTTTTCATCCTGTCTATGTAAATTAAAATTCCAACTTTAAACCCTATTTCTTCTTTTGTTCTTCATTTTTTCACAGGTAAAATATGGAAATTATGCTTTCGTATGGGATGCAGCTGTATTGGAATATGTGGCTATCAATGACCCAGATTGTTCCTTTTACACCATTGGAAATACTGTTGCTGATCGGGGATATGGAATTGCATTACAACATGGCAGTCCTTACCGAGATGTTTTTTCACAAAGGTAAGATTTGTGTATGACCAAATAAGGGGAGAGATGAAATTTAGACAAAGAATATCCATTTGGTTACCAGATCTGGTTTATTACATTTTGTTTCCTTTGTTAGGAGAAGCACAATAAACAACAACAACAAAAAAGATAGTTATAAGTAGTTGTTCAATAAGACACTCATTACCTAAAACATGAAGTATTGTTTTTTCCATAAGTAGCGGGAAAAATAATGCTACATATAACTGGTTTTACTCTCAAAAAATTGACATGGAAAAGAAAGTAGGTGTGTTAGTAATTTCTATTAGAATTAAACTAGTAGTCTAGTCTGAATTTTTAGCAACAAATGTCACAGAGTTAAGAAAATGAATTCATTCTGAGGATACAAAAGCATAACATAAACTTCAGGACCAAGTTAAAGCTCTGATGGACTGAAGCAGATAATGACAGGGATGTTTCCACCTGAATTTTTCAAAGGAAATGGTTAAGATTTTGGAGTTCCCCGCTTAACATCAAAGTATATGTGAGATTTTGTCATGGAAATCAAGGAGATAACTTATTGAGACATTATATCCATTTTCAAATCAGAATTTCTATGATGAAGGAGTTGTTTACAATGGAAGATTTTTAAATATATATTTTAGATTAACAATGCATATGAAAGACTTGGGCCTCAAAGGAGTGCACAAAGATTACTGCATTTCATTATATCTCCTACCAAACAAGCTTGGACCTAAGACAGATTAATATCTTCCACATAGAAGTATATCCATTTTATACTGAAAGTACATTTTGTTTATTTTCTAGATTTTCTTCTACCTATTCTCTAGAATCTAATGACAGTCCAAGAGGACAGTTCCAGATAGTACTAAGGCCCTAAATTTCAAACAACTTGAGTTATATTTCTCCAAATTTTAGGATAACAAAAAATCCAGGCATTTTGTGTGTATGTTTTTTTTTAAAAGAACTAAAAATCAGTAGTTCACAATTTGTGTCATAACTCTTCCATTAGCAAACCATAAAAATCTAAACCTCTCTCATGACATGCAAAATGAAGTTAGATTAATTCTAAGGTCCTGTACTAGTCAGCTTTTCTGTGTAGCAAACAACTCTAAAGTATAAGTGATTTAGAAAAGTTACTTCTCATTCATGAAACAAGGCTGTAATTTGGTTGTGTTATGCTTCAAGCTGTGGGTCAACTGCAGTCCTACTCTGTGCAAGCTTCTCATTCCAAGGCCCAGGCTGAAGAAGCCGACCTAACAGGGACATGCTGTTCTCATTGCAAAGAGCATTTGTAAAAGAGGCTGGCAGAAACCTGCAGTGCCTCCTGTGTTTCTTGCTTGGATGTGGCATATGTTCCATCTGCCCACAGATCACAAACCAAAGCAAGTCTCATGGCCAAGCCCAAAATCAATAGAGTGGGTAAATGTACCCCACATATAGGGAAGGAAGGAGTAAAGGATTATGAATAGGCTGGACGCAGTGGTTCACACGTGTAACCTCAGCACTTTGGGAGGCCAAGGCAGGTGGATCACTTGAGGCCAGGAGTTTGAGACCAGCCTGGCCAACATGGAGAAACCCCATCTCTACTAAAAATACAAAAATTATCCAGGTGTGGTGGTGCATGCCTGTAATCTCAGCTACTTGGGAGGCTGAGGCATGAGAATCGCTTGAGCTTGGGAGGTGGAGGTTATAGTGAGCCAAAAGTGAAATACATATGCATTAACTGGGAAGCAAAATACTAAATAATAATCAATCAAAATACATTTATTGACGAGCAAATTCTAAGAGGAACAAACTACAAAAATCAATTATGCCATAGGGAATCCGTCTGTAAAGCACTTGGCATCTAGTTGGAGATATAAGACCCATGCACAAGAAACAAAGAACAATATAGACATTTCTATAAATGTGTGTTGATATATATGTATATAATATCAGTATTATTTATTTATATTATTTTAAATTGTGTAGTTAAGGTACTGAAATAATTGAACAGCATACAGAGTAGTTAAGCAAAGGAAAATGAGTGAAAGCTCTCCAGAGAAGGTAAGCCTGGAACTTGACCTTGATGGGGCAAGGGGAAATACGGAGAAGGAACAAATAGAAGAGACCCTTCTAAGGGAAGAAACACACCACTGCTTTTAATTTAGTTGTGAGGATGGAAAAGCATAATAGAATGAAAAGGGATCCAGGGTTTCATGGTAAAAGACCAGCAGAAATGTTTAATGCATGCTTAACATTACAGAGCTAGTTGAGAAAAGGATTATTGATTATTGATTAGTTATGGTTAATTGGCTTTTTCATTGCTAAAGATGTTCTTGCTTTTCAGACTTGATTTTCTGGCTTTTTTTTTTTTTTTGAGACATTGTTTCGCTCTTGTCACCCAGGCTGCAGTGCAGTGGTGCGATCTCGGCTCACTGCAACCTCCCCATCCCGGGTTCAAGTGATTCTCCTGCCTCAGCCTCCCAAGTAGCTGGGATTACACATGCACGCCACCATACCCAGCTAATTTTTTGTATTTTTAGTAGAAATGGGGTTTTGCCATATTGGGCAGGCTGGTCTTGAACTCCTGATATCAGGTGATCCTCCCGCCTCAGCCTCCCAAAGTGTTGGGATTACAGGCATGAGCCACCGCGCCCAGCGATTTTCTGGATTTTTTATGTAAAAAATAATGCATGAACGTAATAGTAATTAAAGAAATGTTTAATAAATCACACCAAGTGTTGCATTTCTTATTAGCCCTGCAGTGCTTTACCTATCAGAGATTTTAATTCTCAGAAAATGTACTCTAGTGAACTGCTAAAAAGTATTATTAAGCATTAAGCATTATTTTTCCTTTGTTTGATATGCAGTACAGATGTTGGCAGTTTAAATTGTTTCTTTCTGTGGAGTTTCTTGGTAACGACACCCTGCATCCTGATTCCCTGGACATATGGAGAAAAGGAGAGCCAGGAAAGAAGCAGGACCTGGCGATCATCAGTGTGCCAGCTCCTCTCTTTATACACATGTGCCACATTAATTTATCACCCAAAACCTCTCGCTAAATTCAGAAAATATTTGCATTTGTTCCATTTTTTTATAGCCATAAGGAAAAAGAGATCTTCCCTTTCTGTTAACTGATTTTAAAAATTATAAAGATCATCAAATTTAACCATTTTAGTACACTGTGGTCAGTATGTTTTATACATCAGCATCCGGGGCCATTGATATTACATATTACTATTGTGATTATTTTCACTGAAAATATAGTATACTAGGTGATTTTTAATAATTCAATATTACTTTTCAGGTGACTATATTTCTATAACACAACTTCTAAAATATTAAGTTACTTTAATATGTAATAAATATTAGTATGTAAAATAAAAAATATATAGTGATACAGTAACTACATTTATTATCTGCTACCTGCCAGACGTCTTATATGTTTATATATTTCATAGGCACTTTAGAACAATCATATGAGGCATTGCACATTTGTTCATTATAGCATTGCTTATTAGTGCATGACTGCTATGCTACAAGTACATACACTGAGTGGATGAGTCTGCACCTGGACAAGCATCAAATTCAGGTTCGGAGACATGGGTTATATCAATACACTCACATGTATGATTGTATGTGAGCGAACACACATTGGAATGACTTCAAGGAACCAGTAAGTGCTAGAATTTATATAACCATAGAAATGGCTAGAAGAGTTTTGCTTCCTTTTGTGTCCTTTCTGCACATAAACTAGATAACTTGGCAGCAGAAGTTAAAGTCAGTCTTTTTTTTTGGTCATCAGATGTGTGCGTGAGTGTGGTAAGTAAGGCTTGCAGTGAATTCTCTACCTGACACGATTTGTCATCAGATGTTTTATGTGGTTCTCATCTTGTAACTTCTTAGTTTAAAAACATTTAGTCATATGTTGCCTCATTAAAGGCATTCAAGAATGAAGAAAACTGAATTTTTCGGGTTGACTTCATTGTGCAATAAATAAAGTTAACTCCAGTGTTGACTTCAGAATCTTAACAATGCAGAAAGCTAAAAAGATAACCAAAAAGTATGAGCTCAAGTCTATTCTCAAATCTTAAGTGGATATTGGGAAAAATTCATTAGTTTAATTTTATAGTTCATCCATAAAGAGGTCACATTTTGCTTATTGGCTTCTAGACCCTAAACTTGGGATATAGAACTACCCAAAGTCACAAAAACAATTACGTGTTCCAAGTTGCATGGAGAATAATTTTTCTTAGATTCATGATAGTGACACATATATAAACAGTTGTTCAAACTAATCGCAGAATTTGAGAATTTTTAGAAATGGAACTAACAGTAGCTATGCCCTTTCTGACAGGGATGAAAGTAGTCCACAGGAATAAACAACTTGCTTAGAATCACAAAAAAAAGCAATAAAATTGGAAAAAATTCAAAATTTCTGATTTCATATCCAGTTTTCTGGTCACTGTACATTCTGTCTTCCCTTATATTTCTTCTAAAAGCATATAAGAATAATGTCAAGCTTATATTCTTATATTGTCCTTACTATATGCTAGACTCTCAGCTACTACACATAATAACCCGTGAGGTAAATACTGTTGCTGTCCTAATTGTACAGATACAGAAACTGAGACATCATGAAGTAAAGTAACTTGTGCAAGTTCAGGAAGCTGTCGATTATTAGAGCTGAGACTCAAACCCAGAGTCTGGCTCCAAAAACTGGGTCTCTTAACCATTCTGCTATACTGCGTTTCACAAAAATGACACACACTTTTAACAAGTGTGTTTCAAATAAACACTTAGGGATTCTCTTTTTTTTTTATTATTATACTTTAAGTTCTAGGGTACATGTGCACAACGTGCAGGTTTGTTACATATGTATACATGTGCCATGTTGGTGTGCTGCACCCATTAACTCATCATTTATATTAGGTATATCTCCTAATGCTATCCCTCCCCACTCCCCGACCCTAGGACAGGACCTGGTGTGTGATGCTCCCCTTCCCGTGTCCAAGTGTTCTCATTGTTCAATTCCCACCTATGAGTGAGAACATGCGGTGTTTGGTTTTTTGTCTTTGCAATAGTTTGCTGAGAATGATGGTTTCCACCTTCATCTATGTCCCTACAAAGGACATGAACTCATCCTTTTTTATGGCTGCATAGTATTCCATGGTGTGTATGTGCCACATTTCCTTAATCCAGTCTATCATTGTTGGACATTTGGCTTGGTTCCAAGTCTTTGCTATTGTGAATAGTGCCACAATAAATATACGTGTGCATGTGTCTTTATAGCAGCATGATTTACAATCCTTTGGGTATATACCCAGTAATGGGATTGCTGGGTCAAATGGTATTTCTAGTTCTAGATCCCTGAGGAATCGCCACACTGTCTTCCACAATGATTGTACTAGTTTACAGTCCCACCAACAGTGTAAAAGTGTTCCTATTTCTCCACATCCTCTCCAGTACCTGTTGTTTCCTGACTTTTTAATGATGGCCATTCTAACTGCTGTGAGATGGTATCTCGTTGTAGTTTTGATTTGCATTTCTCTGATGGCCAGTGATGATGAGCATTTTTTCATGTCCCTTTTGGCTGCATAAAAGTCTTCTTTTGAGAAGTGTCTGTTCATATCCTTCACCCACTTTTTGATGAGGTTGTTTGTTTTTTCCTTGTAAGTTTGTTTGAGTTCTTTGTAGATTCTGGATATTAGCCCTTTGTCAGACGAGTAGATTGCAAAAATTTTCTCCCATTTTGTAGGTTGCCTGTTCACTCTGATGGTAGTTTCTTTTGCTGTGCAGAAGCTCTTTAGTTTAATGAGATCCCATTTGTCAGTTTTGGCTTTTGTTGCCATTGCTTTTGGTGTTTTAGATATGAAGTCCTTGCCCAGGCCTACGTCCTGAATGGTATTGCCTAGGTTTTCTTCTAGGGTTTTTATGGTTTTAGGTCTAACATTGAAGTCTTTGATCCATCTTGAATGAATTTTTGTATAAGGTGTAAGGAAGGGATCCAGTTTCAGCTTTTTCCATATGGCTAACCAGTTTTCCCAGCACCATTTATTAAATAGGGAATCCTTTCCCCATTTCTTGTTTTTGTCAGGTTTGTCAAAGATCAGCTGGTTGTAGATGTGTGGTATTATTTCTGAGCGCTCTGTTCTGTTCCATTGGTCTATATCTCTGTTTTGGTACCAGTACCATGCTGTTTTGGTTACTGTAGACTTGTAGTATAGTTTGAAGTCAGGTAGCGTGATGCCTCCAGCTTTGTTCTTTTTGCTTAATATTGTCTTGGCAATGCGGGCTCTTTTTTGGTTCCATATGAACTTTCAAGTCGTTTTTTCCAATTCTGTGAAGAAAGTCATTGGTAGCTTGATGCGGATGGCATTGAATGTATAAATTACCTTGGGCAGTATGGCCATTTTCACGATGTTGATTCTTCCTACCCATGAGCATGGAATGTTCTTCCATTTGTTTGTGTCCTCTTTTATTTTGTTGAGCAGTAGTTTGTAGTTCTCCTTGAAGAGGTCCTTCACATCCCTTGTAAGTTGGATTCCTAGGTATTTTATTCTCTTTGAAGCAATTGTGAATGGGAGTTCACTCATGATTTGGCTCTCTGTTTGTCTTTTACTGGTGTATAAGATCTCTTTCTATCTCTCTCTCTCTACACATGCATGCATGCACACACATAGACACACAAAGAGTAGAACAAATCACAATCCTTGGTACTTCACAATACTCTCATAATGGGTCCATAAATAGCTACTTTTATTCATTTATTTGATTAGTTTTATACTCCTTAGTTGTAGTCTTTTTTCCTATAAACTATTAGAATATTTAATTTAATATTATAACTATAAGAATTTTTTTCCTATTAAGTATTAGAATATTTAGTGCTTTACTTTGTATTTTTACAAGTAAAAATACAAATTATTCAAAAAATTATTCAAAAAGAGAACATTAGATCTTTTTACCTCTCTCTATCTTGATACTTCTTACACTTTACCTCTTGTTTCCTACCTCCTGTTGGAAAGCTCCTGAGCTCCTTGAGTTCACACGTGTGTTTGTACATCTCTAGTGCCCACTTTCTTGTTTAGCATGCAGTAAGCATTCAATAATTATTTCATACATGAATAAAAGATCTACTTAACTTTTTGGCTAAAGATCAGCCCATTTACTTACAGCCAGATAAACCTCTGTGCATTTTGCTTGCTTGATAATTTCTAAAGTCTTCCTTCTTATCATAATTATTTTTTCTTTCTTGGTTTCTATAATTTTTCATCCAACCAATAAAAAAGCTAAGAAAAAAAATCTAAGAAGAAAAAGAAAACAAACACAGCACCTGCCTACCCTTCTTTCCAACTCCCTGCTGTAATAATTTTTATGCTTTTTCCCACAAGGAAAGTAAAAAACATTCCTTTAACTTGACAGCATAATCCTAATCCTTTAATACCCCAATTGGAATGGGGTGCTTTCCAAGCATTCTGTTCACCATTCAGCAAGGGGAAAAAAGCAGCCCCCATTGATTGCCCACTTAGTAGCTCCAGGATTGGTCAACAAATGGCTTAAGCTCTGTATTCAGCTGGTTAAAAGAATCTCTCAGAAAGGTACATAAAACCAGAAGTTAAACAGTTAACTGGCTTCCCTTTAGAGATGCAAAATATAAACTAGCCCCAAGCTCTGAGAGCAGAAGTGACATTATTGAGACACATTTGTAAACATTAAGCAATATCAAAGTATACATTAAACTATATAGTATAGACAATACTTGCAGGAAAAATTTTAAGGAAAACAAAATCAGTGAAGGTTAGAATAAAAATGGTTACTAGACTTGAGCAGGGAGAATTCAAAAATAAATCGAATTTGGATATGAGAGCAGGTGCAGGTAAAATACTCAGGAAAACATGAGAGATTCACATAAATAAAAACGGCCATCATGTGTTGAAAGGATGATGAGAAGGAACAACTTCACTGGAAATAATATTAGTTGAGGGATTTAGGTAGAGAAACTAAAATTGAATGTGATAGACTATCAACAGCTGCTAGTTATAAAGCATCTACTACACTAAACACTTGATATGTTTCATATAATGCTTGCCACAACTCTGTGCATTGCATTTCATAAATTTGAGGAAACTGAGCCTCAGACTTAAATATCTTGCCAAATTCACACAACTAATAACAAACAGATCTAGGCCTCAGGTTGAAGCTCGTGTCCTTATGCAGCACCGTTCACCAGCTTTGTGGGGCTCTGAGAAGAGAAATATCTGTACAGACGAGGATTTGAGGAGTCTGAGGTGTTAGGTTAGCTTTTAATTGAAGAAGGCCATTTGCAAGTATTCTAGCTGGGAAGCAGTAAGAATACTACAAAAGAATTAGGAAAAGGGATTAGAAAAAAAGATAAGTTTGGAGAAAGGATAGGGAGAACTTGGTGAAAAATCAAAGAAGTGCATAAAATCCAGGACCCTGAACAAGAAAGGCTATGCAGATTTAAATGGCAACAAACAGCCCCCTCTTTTCTCCTACTTCTTCCAGCTGTCTTACTTCTCCTTTTCTTGGTCATCTATTACAAGTTTGCATCAGCTGTATTTCATCATTTTTAGAAAGGCAGTGATTATTTATTTTAATTATGATCATTTACTACCCGGTAAATAAATAATTATTTCTAAGAACCATACAACCTACAGATTTCTATTCTGTTGTTGCTCACATCACAGTAACATATTCCTATTGGTATTGTTCTTCTCTCTCACAATACATCAGACTTTTTTTTAATTTATATATATGTTTTATTTAATTTTATGTGTGTATATATATACCACTAACATCAGCTGGTTTCATTGTATCCACATTTTCTGTTCCAGATCAAGAAAACAAGATAATTAAGATGGGCAGATAATTAAGAAAGGAGAACATTTGAAGAGTCTCAAAATAAAAGCAAGAAAGAGGACACTGAAGGTTCACTCTCAAAGGGAGACAGGAGTAGGATGCTATAATAATATATATATTATATATATTTATACATATATTTTTGCTTTAAAAGAATAACATTTTATGCTATAAGATGTGAAAGGAAATTGTTTTCTTTTCTCATATAATACACATCTATTTAGATAAGGACTAGCCTCTGGAATCCATACAAAGGAATATGCTATTCCTATTTCAGAGCAACCTCCTCTTTAAAACATCTGTTTTGAATTGAGGATTTTTAACTTAAAGAACTTCAATAAACAAGAAAAATGAGTAAGCTTTTGTCTATCATTCTTTTTCTGTTTCCTGAATCCTTGTGGAGCTACTTTTATGACGGATATCCTATGAGTTTTAGCAAGCACCCTGACTGCTACTTCTAGTGGAGAATCCAAATAATTTACATTTATTTTAGAGTTTAGTCTAAATAGATGACAGAATAAGTATAGTTAGTGATATTTCCAGTATGTGAATTTTTCAAAAATATTTATGGGCTCCATATGATTTGAGATTAGTTTTATTAGTCTTGCCAAACTGTAGCCAAATTTTAAACAATTATAAACCTTTACTCTCAAGAAGCATATAGCATTCTCACTGCTAAGCACAAACCTAGACATCAAACAGCAACCCCATGGGGTAGATTTTTAAGTGATACAAATTTCCATTCTTCTTGCACTACATCATACAGCATTCAGGGAACACTATATTCAAGATGCAACAGTACCCTTAATGAACAAGCATCTTTATTAGATTTTTCTGAGATAAGTCCTGAGCTACAGGGAAGATAAATGACTAGTGCAAGGTGCAAGGCAGTATTTCAGCTGGATAATAAGCCCATGATGCTGGACCAAGCTGCTTTTCAAGCAGCAAGTCTGATTAGCCTTTTTACAAATAAGATTTGTGCTGTTTCTAGATCTCAGTAAATATTGTTTATTCAGAAACCCATTGGTTTACAAAAAGCATAGTTATTTTACTGATATAATCTAGGTGTTACTAAAGGCTTTTTAACAAAATATTCCAGAACTTAAAACCACAAATTTACACTGCACTTGAAAATACACACACACACATGCGCACACATACACACGCACACACACATACTCTCCAGAGTAATTATAAGACTCTCTCCAAAACTCTTTTATTCCCTTATAGTTAAATCACATTTTTAACACTCAAAACACTCATTCTACTCAACAAACATAACGTCAAGACACTTTTTACTGTTTGAAAAATTCAGTCTACTTTTAAAAGGAAAATTTGATGTCATCAAAAATAATCAAAGAACATGCTACTTTTTCATAGGTCCTTAAAATATTGTAAACATAGTGACATCATGGGAATAAACGTGTGGGCTTACATAATAATTATGTCTATAGAGGAAACAATCATAGATTTTGAGCACTGAGTGAGCCTTTGGCATGCATTTAGATAACTCTCTAATTTTTCAAATGTGAAACCAAGAAGGGAAGTGGGGTGCCCTGCCCAGAGTATAACCCTTGGTTAAAACCATGCCCTGGAGACCACTAGTCCAGGCTCCCAGTCCAGTGTCCCATCCCCTGCCCTGTTCTGCCAGTTCCTTTTGTTTAAAAAAGTCAGTTTTTATCCCTAAAATTTACCAGTAAAATATATGTTTTCACAAACATAGTCATGTCAATATATTACATAAAAGAGCAGGAATATTCATTAGGAAATACTTTCAACAGGGTCACAAACATAACTAGAACATCTGTTTAAAAATTGTCATTACTTCATAGACACAAGAAAATGTAGCACAAAGATGAATAGAGTGCTTTGGAATGTGTTCTCTAACTTATAAAGAAACTATGCTGTAGACTAAAATAGTAGTCGACATTCATTGAAAACTCACCAGGTGCCAAGTATCACTATAAAGGCCCTAACTATGTTAAATAATTTAATTCTCACAATAAGCTTGTGAGGTAAATATTATTAGTAGCTTTATTTTATAGAAGAGGAAACTAAATCACAGAAATGATTTGAAATTTTCCAAAATCCTAAAACTGATAAGTGACAAAGCCAGGCTTTGAACCCATGCTGTCAAAGACAATACTATCCTGGCTCATATTCCCACAAGTCTAAGAACATGCACCAGTGCTGGAAAAGGATAATAAGGATCTAAATTGTCTTCATGACTGCCGACATGGCTGTCTTCCTTCATATTAAAATGCTGTTGGGCATTTTAGTTTAAATGAAATGCAGAATATTTTCAGAAACTTAAATGGTATGCCAATAACAAAGGGTCCTCCATTACAGGGAGGGAGAGATCCATCTGAAATTGAAACTGTCTTGCATCAGCTGACCAGAAGTAAATATATTGAAAATTGAAAGCTATGGGACGATACTGAAATATTTTCCCTTCCTCTCATCTTCTTTTGCTACAAGTTAGTTTAAGACTCTACTTAATCAAAACTTTAATTCTTCCTTCATGGAAGTTTTAATTCATCATTACATTTTAATTGGTGGAATTCGTAATTGCCTCTTATCTATCCCATTTCATAGTTCTTTGAGCAGCTCAAATAAACTAACATCATAATTGGTCAGACAGTCTACTCACATGTTAAACGTTTACTAATATGAAACAGAATCTGATACTTCTAGACATGAATTATTACTAAGATAAAAATATAAGAATTTTTATATGGAATAAGAGTCATTATTCTATATAGCCCAGGTAAGTCTAACATAAGCTCTAACGATTTCTGTCTTTGTGAACGTAGTTCTCTGTTTTAATACCAATTTCAAATAGAGAAATATGTACCTCAATGTGTTCATTTACTTTTTTCATAATAATCCATTCTGCTTCTGTCATTTTATAAAGCTCTTTATTTTTTAAATGTTAGTAACTAATGAAAATGATCAAAATCAACATGTTTTTATTTTGTATGTTGCTGCCTAAGAAAACATATTTAAAACTTGCATCTTTTTTTTTTTTTTTTTTAATTATACTCTAAGTTTTAGGGTACATGTGCACATTGTGCAGGTTAGTTACATATGTATACATGTGCCATGCTGGTGCGCTGCACCCACTAATGTGTCATCTAGCATTAGGTATATCTCCCAATGCTATCCCACCCCCCTCCCCCGACCCCACCACAGTCCCCAGAGTGTGATATTCCCCTTCCTGTGTCCATGTGATCTCATTGTTCAATTCCCACCTATGAGTGAGAATATGCGGTGTTTGGTTTTTTGTTCTTGCGATAGTTTACTGAGAATGATGGTTTCCAATTTCATCCATGTCCCTACAAAGGATATGAACTCATCATTTTTTATGGCTGCATAGTATTCCATGGTGTATATGTGCCACATTTTCTTAATCCAGTCTATCATTGTTGGACATTTGGGTTGGTTCCAAGTCTTTGCTATTGTGAATAGTGCCGCAATAAACATACGTGTGCATGTGTCTTTATAGCAGCATGATTTATACTCATTTGGGTATATATCCAGTAATGGGATGGCTGGGTCAAATGGTATTTCTAGTTCTAGATCCCTGAGGAATCGCCACACTGACTTCCACAATGGTTGAACTAGTTTACAGTCCCACCAACAGTGTAAAAGTGTTCCTATTTCTCCGCATCCTCTCCAGCACCTGTTGTTTCCTGACTTTTTAATGATTGCCATTCTAACTGGTGTGAGATGATATCTCATAGTGGTTTTGATTTGCATTTCTCTGATGGCCAGTGATGATGAGCATTTCTTCATGTGTTTTTTGGCTGCATAAATGTCTTCTTTTGAGAAGTGTCTGTTCATGTCCTTCGCCCACTTTTTGATGGGGTTGTTTGTTTTTTTCTTGTAAATTTGTTTGAGTTCATTGTAGATTCTGGATATTAGCCCTTTGTCAGATGAGTAGGTTGCGAAAATTTTCTCCCATGTTGTAGGTTGCCTGTTCACTCTGATGGTAGTTTCTTTTGCTGTGCAGAAGCTCTTTAGTTTAATTAGATCCCATTTGTCAATTTTGGCTTTTGTTGCCATTGCTTTTGGTGTTTTGGACATGAAGTCCTTGCCCATGCCTATGTCCTGAATGGTAATGCCTAGGTTTTCTTCTAGGGTTTTTATGGTTTTAGGTTTAACGTTTAAATCTTTAATCCATCTTGAATTGATTTTTGTATAAGGTGTAAGGAAGGGATCCAGTTTCAGCTTTCTACATATGGCTAGCCAGTTTTCCCAGCACCATTTATTAAATAGGGAATCCTTTCCCCATTGCTTGTTTTTCTCAGGTTTGTCAAAGATCAGATAGTTGTAGATATGCGGCATTATTTCTGAGGGCTCTGTTCTGTTCCATTGATCTATATCTCTGTTTTGGTACCAGTACCATGCTGTTTTGGTTACTGTAGCCTTGTAGTATAGTTTGAAGTCAGGTAGTGTGATGCCTCCAGCTTTGTTCTTTTGGCTTAGGATTGACTTGGCAATGCGGGTTCTTTTTTGGTTCCATATGAACTTTAAAGTAGTTTTTTCCAATTCTGTGAAGAAAGTCATTGGTAGCTTGATGGGGATGGCATTGAATCTGTAAATTACCTTGGGCAGTATGGCCATTTTCACGATATTGATTCTTCCTACCCATGAGCATGGAATGTTCTTCCATTTGTTTGTCTCCTCTTTTATTTCCTTGAGCAGCGGTTTGTAGTTCTCCTTGAAGAGGTCCTTCACATCCCTTGTAAGTTGGATTCCTAGGTATTTTATTCTCTTTGAAGCAATTGTGAATGGGAGTTCACCCATGATTTGGCTCTCTGTTTGTCTGTTGTTGGTGTATAAGAATGCTTGTGATTTTTGTACATTGATTTTGTATCCTGAGACTTTGCTGAAGTTGCTTATCAGCTTAAGGAGATTTTGGGCTGAGACGATGGGGTTTTCTAGATAAACAATCATGTCGTCTGCAAACAGGGACAATTTGACTTCCTCTTTTCCTAATTGAATACCCTTTATTTCCTTCTCCTGCCTGATTGCCCTGTCCAGAACTTCCAACACTATGTTGAATAGGAGCGGTGAGAGAGGGCATCCCTGTCTTGTGCCGGTTTTCAAAGGGAATGCTTCCAGTTTTTGCCCATTCAGTATGATATTGGCTGTGGGTTTGTCATAGATAGCTCTTATTATTTTGAAATACGTCCCATCAATACCTAATTTATTGAGAGTTTTTAGCATGAAGGGTTGTTGAATTTTGTCAAAGGCTTTTTCTGCATCTATTGAGATAATCATGTGGTTTTTGTCTTTGGCTCTGTTTATATGCTGGATTACATTTATTGATTTGCGTATATTGAACCAGCCTTGCATCCCAGGGATGAAGCCCACTTGATCATGGTGGATAAGCTTTTTGATGTGCTGCTGGATTCGGTTTGCCAGTATTTTATTGAGGATTTTTGCATCAATGTTCATCAAGGATATTGGTCTAAAATTCTCTTTTTTGGTTGTGTCTCTGCCCGGCTTTGGCATCAGAATGATGCTGGCCTCATAAAATGAGTTAGGGAGGATTCCCTCTTTTTCTATTGATTGGAATAGTTTCAGAAGGAATGGTACCAGTTCCTCCATGTACCTCTGGTAGAATTCGGCTGTGAATCCATCTGGTCCTGGACTCTTTTTGGTTGGTAAACTATTGATTATTGCCACAATTTCAGAGCCTGTTATTGGTCTATTCAGAGATTCAACTTCTTCCTGGTTTAGTCTTGGGAGAGTGTATGTGTCGAGGAATGTATCCATTTCTTCTAGATTTTCTAGTTTATTTGCGTAGAGGTGTTTGTAGTATTCTCTGATGGTAGTTTGTATTTCTGTGGGATCGGTGGTGATATCCCCTTTATCATTTTTTATTGTGTCTATTTGATTCTTCTCTCTTTTTTTCTTTATTAGTCTTGCTAGCGGTCTATCAATTTTGTTGATCCTTTCAAAAAACCAGCTCCTGGATTCATTGATTTTTTGAAGGGTTTTTTGTGTCTCTATTTCCTTCAGTTCTGCTCTGATTTTAGTTATTTCTTGCCTTCTGCTAGCTTTTGAATGTGTTTGCTCTTGCTTTTCTAGTTCTTTTAATTGTGATGTTAGGGTGTCAATTTTGGATCTTTCCTGCTTTCTCTTGTAGGCATTTAGTGCTATAAATTTCCCTCTACACACTGCTTTGAATGCGTCCCAGAGATTCTGGTATGTGGTGTCTTTGTTCTCGTTGGTTTCAAAGAACATCTTTATTTCTGCCTTCATTTCGTTATGTACCCAGTAGTCATTCAGGAGCAGGTTGTTCAGTTTCCATGTAGTTGAGCGGCTTTGAGTGAGATTCTTAATCCTGAGTTCTAGTTTGATTGCACTGTGGTCTGAGAGATAGTTTGTTATAATTTCTGTTCTTTTACATTTGCTGAGGAGAGCTTTACTTCCAAGTATGTGGTCAATTTTGGAATAGGTGTGGTGTGGTGCTGAAAAAAATGTATATTCTGTTGATTTGGGGTGGAGAGTTCTGTAGATGTCTATTAGGTCTGCTTGGTGCAGAGCTGAGTTCAATTCCTGGGTATCCTTGTTGACTTTCTGTCTCGTTGATCTGTCTAATGTTGACAGTGGGGTGTTAAAGTCTCCCATTATTAATGTGTGGGAGTCTAAGTCTCTTTGTAGGTCACTGAGGACTTGCTTTATGAATCTGGGTGCTCCTGTATTGGGTGCATAAATATTTAGGATAGTTAGCTCCTCTTGTTGAATTGATCCCTTTACCATTATGTAATGGCCTTCTTTGTCTCTTTTGATCTTTGTTGGTTTAAAGTCTGTTTTATCAGAGACTAGGATTGCAACCCCTGCCTTTTTTTGTTTTCCATTGGCTTGGTAGATCTTCCTCCATCCTTTTATTTTGAGCCTATGTGTGTCTCTGCACGTGAGATGGGTTTCCTGAATACAGCACACTGATGGGTCTTGACTCTTTATCCAACTTGCCAGTCTGTGTCTTTTAATTGCAGAATTTAGTCCATTTATATTTAAAGTTAATATTGTTATGTGTGAATTTGATCCTGTCATTATGATGTTAGCTGGTGATTTTGCTCATTAGTTGATGCAGTTTCTTCCTAGTCTCGATGGTCTTTACATTTTGGCATGATTTTGCAGCGGCTGGTACCGGTTGTTCCTTTCCATGTTTAGCACTTCCTTCAGGAGCTCTTTTAGGGCAGGCCTGGTGGTGACAAAATCTCTCAACATTTGCTTGTCTATAAAGTATTTTATTTCTCCTTCACTTATGAAGCTTAGTTTGGCTGGATATGAAATTCTGGGTTGAAAATTCTTTTCTTTAAGAATGTTGAATATTGGCCCCCACTCTCTTCTGGCTTGTAGGGTTTCTGCCGAGAGATCCGCTGTTAGTCTGATGGGCTTTCCTTTGAGGGTAACCCGACCTTTCTCTCTGGCTGCCCTTAACATTTTTTCCTTCATTTCAACTTTGGTGAATCTGACAATTATGTGTCTTGGAGTTGCTCTTCTTGAGGAGTATCTTTGTGGCGTTCTCTGTATTTCCTGAATCTGAACGTTGGCCTGCCTTGCTAGATTGGGGAAGTTCTCCTGGATAATATCCTGCAGAGTGTTTTCCAACTTGGTTCCATTCTCCACATCACTTTCAGGTACACCAATCAGATGTAGATTTGGTCTTTTCACATAGTCCCATATTTCTTGGAGGCTTTGCTCATTTCTTTTTATTCTTTTTTCTCTAAACTTCCCTTCTCGCTTCATTTCATTCATTTCATCTTCCATTGCTGATACCCTTCCTTCCAGTTGATCGCATCGGCTCCTGAGGCTTCTGCATTCTTCACGTAGTTCTCGAGCCTTCGTTTTCAGCTCCATCAGCTCCTTTAAGCACTTCTCTGTATTGGTTATTCTAGTTATACATTCTTCTAAATTTTTTTCAAAGTTTTCAGCTTCTTTGCCTTTGGTTTGAATGTCCTCCCGTAGCTCAGAGTAATTTGATCGTCTGAAGCCTTCTTCTCTCAGCTCGTCAAAATCATTCTCCATCCAGCTTTGTTCTGTTGCTGGTGAGGAACTGCGTTCCTTTGGAGGAGGAGAGGCGCTCTGCGTTTTAGAGTTTCCAGTTTTTCTGTTCTGTTTTTTCACCATCTTTGTGGTTTTATCTACTTTTGGTCTTTGATGATGGTGATGTACAGATGGGTTTTCGGTGTAGATGTCCTTTCTGGTTGTTAGTTTTCCTTCTAACAGACAGGACCCTCAGCTGCAGGTCTGTTGGAATACCCTGCCGTGTGAGGTGTCAGTGTGCCCCTGCTGGGGGGTGCCTCCCAGTTAGGCTGCTCGGGGGTCAGGAGTCAGGGACCCACTTGAGGAGGCAGTCTGCCCGTTCTCAGATCTCCAGCTGCTTGCTGGGAGAACCACTGCTCTCTTCAAAGCTGTCAGACAGGGACACTTAAGTCTGCAGAGGTTACTGCTGTCTTTTTGTTTGTCTGTGCCCTGCCCCCAGAGGTGGAGCCTACAGAGGCAGGCAGGCCTCCTTGAGCTGTGGTGGGCTCCACCCAGTTCGAGCTTCCAGGCTGCTTTGTTTACCTAAGCAAGCCTGGGCAATGGCGGGCGCCCCTCCCCCAGCCTAGTTGCCGCCTTGCAGTTTGATCTCAGACTGCTGTGCTAGCAATCCGCGAGATTCCGTGGGCGTAGGACCCTCCGAGCCAGGTGTGGGATATAGTCTCGTGGTGCGCCGTTTCTTAAGCCGGTCTGAAAAGCGCAATATTCGGGTGGGAGTGACCCGATTTTCCAGGTGCGTCCGTCACCCCTTTCTTTGACTCGGAAAGGGAACTCCCTGACCCCTTGCGCTTCCCAGGTGAGGCAATGCCTCGCCCTGCTTCGGCTCGCGCACGGTGCGCACACACACTGGCCTGCGCCCACTGTCTGGCACTCCCTAGTGAGATGAACCCGGTACCTCAGATGGAAATGCAGAAATCACCGTCTTCTGCGTCGCTCACGCTGGGAGCTGTAGACCGGAGCTGTTCCTATTCGGCCATCTTGGCTCCTCCCCACTAAAACTTGCATCTTAATGATATTTTTACCAATGTTCCATGAGCAATGTCCATGGCATGACAGAAAGGAACTGGCACGCTAAAAAAAATCGTGAGATTTCTACTCTGTAAGGTTTTTAATCTTTATCCAAAATAGTGGTTTTGATAGTAAAATTTTTGTTCTGATGATTTTTCTCAATTTTCTGTGTATTTTCCATTAATGAACCAAGATCCCTTTAGTACTCCCTAAAAAAACCATCGTGGCCCTTCTAGGGAGCCTCTTATATTCTTGGTGCTAATCAGCATGAATTTTACTAGTATTAATTTCCTCTTTTCTGCATGTTTTTAGCAAGTGCAGAAATTTGCCAAACAAATTACTTCTTAACCAGAATGTATTCAGTAAAGTGACTCAAAATCATTCATTAAGGTAGATGAGAAAATAGACTGGGTCTCAGAGGCTGTAAATATCAGACCAGCCTGACTCAATTTAGGACAAGGGGAATCATTGAAGGGTTTAGTAAAGCCTAGCCATAATCAGAAGCATGCTTTTTGATCAGTTTGAAAAAAAAATATGCAATGAAATGAAAGGAATTGACTAGACGAGAGAGTACCACATAGGAGGCCATGCTGTATCTATAATGTCTCCAAGAAGGCAGAGATTTGTGTCTGTTTTATTCAGAGACGTATTCCAAAGTGCCTGGAAGAAAGCCTAATACATAATAGCTGTTTGATAAATATTAGCTGAGTGAAAAAATTCATGAATGAATGACCCAGGCAAAGTCAAAGGCCTGACCTGGAGTGAAGGCAAAAGAAATGAAAGGGAAGGAAAAGATATTGTGAACTTAGTGTTGAGCATCAAATGGACACAGAAATCAACGGAAAGAGGGGAGCAAAATCATTTTGAAATCTTTAGCCTCACCGGCTGAGAGATCAAGAAGTCATTAACAAAAGAGAAGCCAGAAGAGGAAACTGGTTTGAGAGTGAAAGTGCTAATTTTGGTCTAGGTATGTTGAACTTGGGGCACCAGAGGATGATATACCCATATAAGGAAATGTAGGGAATATGACAAAGAAATGACAAAGTAGGGTGGGAATTTGAGAGAGAGGCTGGAGCGATGGTTATTGACTTGGGCAAACTCTCCATTAAAACAGTAAAAGCCAAAGATAGCCAATGGAAAGGGCATAGAGATAAAAAGAAAAAGGTTGAGGCAAAAATGTGTTTTCAAATGTCTCTTTTTTGCATTCCTATTCTTTCCATTCCATGGTCACAAACCTAATTAAATCTCTTAGCACATCATGTTGCCTGTCTCCTGGATACCTGGGTCATCCCTTTCTCTCCAGACTATTCACATCTAATACATTTTGTGGACCTCACCTTATGACCAGCCTTACCATAAGGCTTCTATAGAAAATTCAGCTCTTTATTAAATTTCCATGTTTTATCTTCCCTGTACCACTGATGTCACATTTTTGTTAATTAATCATTTCTTGTGTTCATACTTGACATTTCAAATATATTCTAAATTCTTAGCTTGCAAAGAATTACAAAATCTATCTTACACTTCCTTTTTCATCTTCCATAATAAAGTAGGTGTTCAATGAATTTTTGTTAATAATATTTGAGGGGGAAAGAAGACAATCCTATCATCACTATGACTACTAAGGCAAGCAGTTTACTAGAGATTAGAATTCATGTTTATTCATTCAATCAGTAAATATTTATTGAGCAGTTACTTAGTGCTTGAAACTCTTTGATTTATCTAGAGATAAAACAGTGAACAAGACTGACAAGATTATTACTTTCCTGAAGCTTACATTTTACTAGCAAGTCAGAGGAAGACACAGACAATAAATAAGAAAACAAAATAAATGGGATAATTTTATATTGGAAAATTTGCCTTAAAGAAAATATAACTGGGACAGAGAATAAAGGTAGATCAGCATGGGGGTGGGACACAGAAGACTATCCAAAGGAGGGAACATTTTATTACAACCTCAAATGGAAATTTTGGAGGAAGAATATCCAATGCATAAGAAGCAACAGATATAAAAGCCCTGCATTGGGAACCAGCTGGGAGTGTTTAAGGAATGACTAGGAGGCCAATGTTGACTCAAAGAGAGGGAACAAACAAGGCAGTCATATAAAAGGAGATTAAAGAGTTAGTTGGGCCCAGATATACAATAGAACCTTGAAAAACATAGTAAAGACTTAAGAGTTTTTTCTAATGGCAAAGACAAGCCATTGGAAATTTTTAAAGAAGCATTTTTTACCTCTGGCTCTTAAAGTAGAGAAAGATATATGGTGAGAAGGAGAGAGTGCAGCAGAGGCAGTGAGCAAGAGTGAATGTAGTAAGAGAAGTTAGGAAGCCAGTGCAGTAATCCAGGAGAGAGAGGGTGATGACTCAGTCTAGGGTGGTGTAATTGAGATGTGAAAGTGGCAGCTACAGGTCTCTCATAGCTGTGAAACTGATAGGACTGGAAACTGTTTGGATGTTATATGATGGGTGAGGTAAAGAGAGAAATCAGGATAAGCTTATTTTCTGAACAAATAAATGGATGATGGTATCATTAACTGAACTGGTCAAGCATGAACCCAAAGTAGGTTAACAAACAAGGGAAATTAATACCTCGGCTTTGGGTTTAGTAAGCTTGAGATTTTTATTAGACAGATTAATCTAAGTTATAACAGATGTATAAATGTGAAATTCAGGAGAAAACAAAATAAATAAAAATTACAATTTGAAAGGTAGAAGGTACTTATGAAAGATTTCTGTGTTAGATGAAGGACTTTGAGCTTGATGATGTTAGAGATTAGTAGTTATTAAGGGATGCTTAAATGATCTGAGAGATACACTGAAGTGGGTGGGAAGAGAATCGAAGCAGAAAAAGATAGGCACCTTTTTATAAAGTTCCTAAATTCTAGGAATGAGAATGGCAAATGACTTCATTATACGCTTTTGACTGTAAGAAAGGAAATCTGAAATCAAATGTTCCTAAGAAATTTATCTCACATAGCGACATATTTAATGATAGAATGGGCTCCATGATTGCTCAATTCAGAGGTTCAACAGGACAATGTTCTCAAGAACCGAAGTTCTTTTCACCTCTATACTCATCCATCCATGGTGAGTGAGACAAAACTGTCCTCAGGCAGACCTGCCTTGTGACAGAAGTGTCCTGTCCACAGGGACAGAGGTAATATAGTTCCTTGTTCTCATTCAGGAGAAATCTCCCCTCTCAACCAGAAACAGATTAATATAACTCTGTCTCTTCAGCTTTATTAGTTCATCTTAGGTCATATGTTTACCCAAATCAGTTCATCTTCTTAGGTCACAGGTTTACCACGGACTGAGCAGATCCACACAAGAATATATACTGATGGCTTAGACTGTGTACCTAATGGGATGGAAGAAATGTTGGAAGGTATACTATACTATACCATACCTATACTATAACATTCCCTACAACTAATTTAAAGAATTGACAGATAATAGAGAATATAAGGAACAAATGAAAAAGAATTAACACCCACAATAAAATAGCTATCATTTATTGCACATTTATTAAGTGCCAGCTACTTTTCTAAAGTTTTTACATGTACTAACTCCTTTAGTCCTTATAACACCCCAGAAGAGCTGCTATTATCGTTTCATTTTATAGTCAAGGACACTGACACATAGAGTAGCTACTCAAGTTATAGTTAATAAATGGCTGAGCTAGGATTTGAATCCAGACAAATCTGACTTCAGCTGTCATGCCCTTAACCAGTTTGCTCTAGTTAAATGAAAATAGAAAGAGGGACGATACCATAAACTCAACTGGAAAATTATAAACAGGAACATGAGAAGGGGGATTGTATGGGAAGGAAGAGTATGATATTGGTTTAGCTATGTTGAATTTGTAATGACATCAAGAAGTCTGAAAACTGTGGAACGTATGAGACAGAAGGTTGGGTAAGATGGAGGAAAGAAATATGGATTTAGGATTTATCAATAAAAAGTAACATGGGGAAAAATCAAGAGAAACTATGTGCAGAGAAAAAGGAACAAAGCCCCTAAGGACTGATATTAAAGGAAAAAGAGGAAGAGGCTTTAGTAAAGAAATGACTAGAAACATGCCTTATAAGTAATGACAGCAAACTATGAAATCTGTACATCCTCAAGACCTTGAGCAATTTCTGTACAAAGCCATTGTTGAAGGGCTATTTCTTAAATGAGAGAATAAACAGCTGCTATAGACCGCTTCGGCTCATCCTGTGTTTCCTCACTCTAACACAATGGTTCTCCATTTTTAGCCAAGCATCAGGATCACCTGAACGGTCTGTTAAAACACATTTCTGGGCTCCAGCCCCAGAGGTTCTGGTTTCGCAGGCATGTATAATTTTTATTTCTAACAAGTTCCAGGTGATGCTGTGCTGCTGATCTAGATCTAGTCCACATTTTGAGAACCACTCTTGTAATACATGGTCTTTGACTTCTTTGCTCTTATTCTCTCCCTTGTATCTTTTTCTTGCTTCTTTATTCTCTTTTTTTTACCATGTTTTTTGGATTTCATATGCAAACACATACAGTTGCTACTACTCTACATTATTTTATTTAATTCTTGCAAAACATCACTGAGAGAATGATTATTGTGCCTGTCTTATAGATTATAAAGCAAAGCTTAGCACAAAGGATAGATACTTTAGTACTGAATCAATAAACCTAAATTATACAACAGACTAACATTCTAATTTCTTTTTGAACTAATATTCCCCAATTCCACTTATTTCCTTTCTTCTACTTGATCAACCATGATATCATCTTCAACAACCAAAATCATTTTTTAACGGCTATTTTGACCATATCACATAATTTTTAAAATCGTTCTGTGCCTGTTGTTCCTTTTGCCTGTATAGAATCCTTCTTATTGATCAACTCATTTCTCTAACTTGGCCTAATGTCTCAAACAGTGCTTTGCCTATAGGAAATCAACAACATGATGTTAACTAATGCATTGGGTAGCAGTCTTTCAGACTTTCACCTAAGCCAATATCCTACTTGGCCACTCTCCTTATCCCAGTAAAGTTTCATTTATTTTTTTCTTTTATTAACATAATAATTATTTGACAATAAAAACTTTGCCTTTTATAGTCATTAAAGCTTGTTTGGTTTTCATGGAGGGTGAAGAAGAACTTACTAAGAAAAGTTTTTTTCACTTAAAGAAGGAAAACAAGTCTACTATATTCCCAAGTCTATACTCCGAGTATTTTCTCCCTGCATCACACCATAAAGTCTATAGGTCTCTTGATAACTTAAAATCACAGAACCATAAACTCAAAACTAAGAGTGATATTTTATCATCTGTTTCAAAGCCATCTTTATCCAGGTCACTGTGAGGAAATGAAGTCTCCAAGAGGAGAGATGAATGGGCCAGAGTCATTCAGGTACAGCCTGACAGAGTTAGAGTTACAGAAAATCCCAGATTTCCCTATTATCAGTCTTGTGTAATTCTTTCTGTCGCATAACTTTATAACTCCAAAATCCTAGTCCATCTCCAAAACATTATGATGTTCAGAATGTGACTAGCTACATAGGTTTTGAATCAGGCACTATGAAGATAAAAAAAAGAAAAACAGAATAAATAAAAAGAATCCTACAAGTTTCCTCCCCCAGCTCACCTTGTATATGCCTTTCCCCACCACCACCTCCCTGACCCAGCCCCCCATCTGCATTCCAAGGCACTAGGGTACTCTTGGTGCCTGCTTCTGTGAGGGCCTTGATTCCTAGGCTCACACTTCCTCTGGTTAACTCCTGCTCAATTTCCTATCTCACTTTAAATAGCCTGTCCCTAAGGTGAAATCCAGCCACCTTTATTGCCAACTTCCAATGCCTTTCCATAGACAGAAAGCAGCCCTAAGGATATGTTCCAAAATTCACTGGAAAGTGGGGAAAAAAAATAAGGACAAAATCATCAGATGTTAACTCAATTACCTCAATTAAAAGAACTGTCTTTTTTTCTGAGATTATATCCTTTTTATATTTGGGGAATTATATGTTATTTTATTTATGAAAAAGCATAGATTTTTTTTTAAAATACCTCAATGAAATAAAAGTTGAGCAACCTCTGTCAATCCCTCCAACTTTTTTTCCTGAAATTTGAAAGTCTTGGAATGCATATTCCTTACTCAAAATTACTGTGCAAAGATTCAGTCTAGAAAAAGGGGCACAAAAATAAGAAATGTGCAACCAACTTGCTGTACAAGACCCTCTGTTTTAATTCCTTTTTAAAGCAACCCAGTGCTTGTATAGTGGTGTGTGAAACATAGGAGTTTCTAAGCAAATGCTTTTTAGATTCCTTACACTTAAAAAAAGTCCTTTGGGATGTTTTATGCAGAATGCTACGTCCTAGTTTAAATCTAAGAACTCTTTTGACCTTCAGTGCATGTAGAAAAATGTAAAAAATAAATGAGAAAATTAACCTGTTCAAAGAAAAGCTTTAAAAAAATTCTTCAAGCAGAGCTTCTCCCTGTTATCATTGATTAAAATAAGAAGGGGAACAAACTGAAAGGTTTAAAAGGAGTTGTCCCTTAAAATATTTTATATACATACTGCAAAAAAAAATTCATTCTGAAAACAAAGGCTTCTAGACTCAGTTTACTGAATGCGAAATGATCAGACTCGTCTTATTCAGATGTGAAGGTGACCATTTGAGGTCTCAAATAGCCATTGTAACCACCCTGCACAAAATCATTTCTCTGAAAACTGGCTACCTCTAGGACACAGATTCTGCATCACCTCACAAAAGATGGTAGTGAAATCCCTTTAGGAAATATTTAAATAATGAGCCAATTCATATTCCCTTCAGAGTTTCTCATATCTTTTGTCAACATTGAAAATCCATCTTATCCCTCACAGCAAACAACCACTTCATGTGTTTCCTAGGGGTTAGACTGTTCCATTTCCTTTCCACCAAAGATGACCTTGTGTACAGGACCAGTTTTGCAGGCAGCACAAGAGAGTTATTCTTTCGATAACATAGGATTTAAAATTCAGGACAGCTAAATTTCATAGGAAGAGCTCCAAAAGGATGTGGTCACTTGGTGGAGCATATACTGTACACAGCTGATAGGCTTCACAATGAAACACCTGGTAAAGCGTATCTTTGAATCCTTAAGCTTCCCTTTCTTCTGCATCTTTACACTTTGGAAATCCATGAAGCTGCTGTTAGGCAGAGCATTTAATGGGGATCTTGCATCACCTCAATATTCCCACTTGTATGCCTATTTTGATGCAGTCACACTACGAGTCTAATATGAAAAATAACTTTTAAAAGGCAATGAAAATGTAAGTCAACCTAAAAGGAACATATATACTGAGACTGGTAGATTCAGCCATGCATTATGCTTAATATGTTTTAAGTTAACGTGAACTTGTTTGAAAAGAGATAGAAAAATATATATACAAACTAGCAGTGTTTCATCCCATTTAACAAGTATTTGTTAACCACCTACTAAATGCCAGACACTATGGTAGGCTGTGGAGCTATAGCTTTGAACTATACACAACCCCAGCCTCCAAACCTCTTGCTCTCTAGAAGGAAAGGTGAACAAGTGAATGAGCTATTTTCTGTTTGGTGTGATAGGTGTTTTGGGACCACAGGGAAGCAGTGTAGACCTCAGGTGAAAATTATCAGGAAAGCTTCCTAGTGGAATTGATACTGGAAAGATTATTTAAAGAACAATTGATGTTGGTTAATGTTATGGGCTAAATTTTGAAGTCCTAACCTCCAGTACCTCAGAATGTTACTATATTTGAATACAGGGTCTTAAAATGTAATTAAGGTTTAAAAAAGTCACTGGGGCATGCCCTATCTAATATGACTTGTGTCTTTATAAGAAGAGGTTAGAATACAGACATGCACAGAGGGAAGACCACGTGAAGACACAAGGAGAAGACAGCCATCTATAAAGTAAGCAAGATATCTCGTAAGAAATCAACCCTGCCAGCACCTTGATCTCAGACTTCAGCCTCCAGAACTGTGAGAAAATTAATACAGTCATGTACCACATAATGACGTTTTGGTCGATGACAGACTGCATAAAAAACAATGGTTCCATAAGATTATAATACTGCATTTTTCTCGTAACTTTTCTATGTTTAGACACACAAATACCTATCATTGTGTTACAATTGCCCACAGTATTCTGTATAGTAACATGCAGTACAGGTTTGAACCCAGGAGCAATAGGCTATATCATATAGCCTAGGTGTGTAGTAGGCTATACGGTCTAGGTTTGTGTAACTACACTCCATAATGTTCATACCATGACAAAAATCACCTAAAGATACATTTTTCAGAACACATCCTTGTCGTTAAGCAGCACATGACTATGTCTCTTGTTCAAGCCAGCCAGTCCATGGTACTTGGTTATGGCAGCCCTGGCAAATTAATACAGTCGATGAATGACAGTAAATGCAGTAAATGCTAAAAAAAAAAAAAAAAAAAAAAAAAAAATGAACTGGAACAAAAGAGACACCACTTCGAATGGAGTATTAATCAGGAATATTAATCAGGAAGTGGCAGCAAATGAGCCTGGGAAGATACACAAAGGACATGGGGACTTCTTAGCTTCATTGAGAAGGGCCTGAGATGCCTGGCCAGAGTTCAGACTCAATCCTGAGCATGAAGGGATGCCACCAGAGGTTTTTAAGTGAGATTGAACATAAAAAGCTTACATTTTATAAAAGTCACTCTGGCTGCAGTGTTGATTATTAGTTGTCTGAGAGCAAGACTCTTTGAAGCTGGGAGACCAGTCAGAAATTTAATCTAGATGAGAGATGATACCAACCTAAAATACAGTGAAAATGGGGGGAAAAAGTTTGGAAACGTAAATTTGAGTTATAATAAAGGAACAATGTGAGAACAAAGTTGTTAGAACAATCTCTGAGTCTCCTCCACGCTGTCACATTTCCACCCCAGTGCTTAGTCTTCTCATAATAGCCATATTTGTAAGAGAAGGCAAATTCCGTTTTTATTAGTTAATATATTTGGCAACTTCTCCTAAGGCACCTGCCAACTCCAGTGTATCTCAGGCTTTTACTCTTGAACTCTGAAACCCGAGAATGCTAAATTAATTCACACTTCTAAGAAGAACATGGATTGAGGCACATTCTATAATACCTATATTTAAACACTTCCCAGAAGTGTGCTATTTTGTATGTGTGAAAATTGCCAACACAACATTCACAAACCCTCTTAACTTGCATCTCCAGCCTTGACGTCCCTGAAGAAGAATAAACTGCCTTCTAAATGTAGTTAGCTAAGAGAAAAGATTAGGAAAGGAGGAGTAGAGGAAGGAGTGGAAATGGGGGGAAAGAAAAGAGATTTTTACCACCCACTAGTTTGACTGTTTAGTCAATCTCTTTGTCTCAACAACCTACTTTTAGTGCATGAAAGATGTGGTTACTCTCTGAGATGAGAGTATAATCTCTGCTGGAAAGTATACATAGTCAGCGTGTCTGATTTTCTTAGGAGCTCTACCTTTGGACAAGCAGGAGTTAGCAAGAAGTATATAAAGTCAGTGAGTCTCACACATGGGAAAACTTTATTTGCCATCTATGAAATGTTCAAATATTAGAAGGATTTATTTTTATTATCCTTTTCTTCAAAGCACTCCATTTTAAATGTCAGTAAGCTTTTCAACAATAAAGATAGATTTCAGCAAATTGCCAGTCAAGGTTTTTCTTTTATTTCCTGGGTGTTTCTTAATAAGTGGACTTATTGTAGCCCAGATGTCTGTCTGTCTAGTGGCCAGCCTTTTCATATCCACGATCATTTTCTCTCTCTCATCATATTTCCCAACTACGCTTTACTGCATTTATCTTCTTAAACCATGTGTGACTTTCTATACCAGGAAATTTTCAAGGGAACATCACTTCATTTTGCTTCCAATAGAAGCCCAGGCACAAAGAGAAATGATAAAACTCTGGCCCCTGCTTTATTCATAAAACACTTTGCAGAGTGCATTTAGTAATTTGCCATTGTAACCACTGGCACTAAGAGCTTTCAGGGCCGAGTTCTGATGCTGTATTTAGTTCATACTTTGACTGCTCAGCTAAAACTTCCATTTGTATGCATTTATTCTGCTTCACACATTATGTTGTCAGTCACTTGCAATATTTCAAAGTCACAGCAGGCTTTTTCTGACACATATTTGTCAGAATGAACTGCCTTGATTGCTATTATTACAGACTATAGTGCCTGAGTAAGGGGAAAAAAAACTTATGTAGTACCAGAATATTGAAACTGCCTAATAAAACAATAGATACAAGAGAATAAAAATAGAATAAATGCATATAAATGGATGCTTTAAAAGGCCAACAAAATGTAGGATTACAAAATAGACATATAGAACCCAAAAACCCATTCATAAAAAGGATTGGAATTTTTTGAAAATGATAAGGAGCCGAATGAGAAAATTCCACTGCCCCAGTGTCAGTGAGTAAGTGAGTATCACATACTTCCTTTCCAGTAACCAGGGATTTAAGTAGACTCTGCTAATGGATGCTGTCATTGAGAGAAATTTTAGCATGAAATCTCCTACTGAACAACAATAAAAACACATGCTTTGACCAAAAATAATAAAAACTATGAGGAACTAATTAGAAATCCAGATCCTTTATCATTCTTGATAAACTACTGAGCATGTAATCTGAAAAGACCTGTGCCCCATTTGGCTGCTCTTTTCTCTACCTTTTGATCTTACCCATACTTCAGAACTGAACACCATATAAGTACCATAGAAATCCACTTGGGAATCAGGGAATTTCTCTGCCGATAGGGATGGCCCTTCCTTAGGATTCCTCAAATTTCAAGACTTGCATAAAGCATAAGATAAGAAAATTAAATAAGACATAATAATTAGTTTTCAAACCTCTTATCAAAAGTAAATTATAAAATACAAAAATCTAAAACATTTTTATTAATGCCACAGATCAGTAGAACAGAAAAATCTAAGCTGTGTTGCTCTTGTCTTTGGGGCAATTATATAACTTTATGAATTTGCTTCACTTCATATGTTTCTCCACATATTTTCCTAAAGTAATATTCAAGAAATTATGCTGGACATGAAAAATCTCTAACAGATCCACTGTTTGGAAAATCATTTCTTTTTTTAAAAAAAGAAAGTTATGATGAAGAGTAATTATCAAAACTGGAAGAAATTATAAAGTAAGAAAATTGTAAAAGCCGAAAGATAGGTCATCTACTTGCTTACTCTATTTCTAGAAATAAGATTTAATTCTTTCTAAAGATGTTGTGTTTAATCTGAATGTTATTAAGACCCCAAATTAAGGATGACTCTTTTATTTCTGTTTGAATCTTTATAACAAAATATTAAAATTACTTTTGGAAAGCTTTAGGAAGTTTAAATTGTTCTAAATCCCTCATTGTCTCACCTACTCATTGTCTTGGAACTTCTTACAAATATTAATGGCTTTTTGATGCATATTGATTCTTTATGTACCATATGACTAATAGCATAACTCTAGATGTACACTCAGAAAAGTCATTACAGTGATATATACACCAATGGGATTCAGAAAGCATTTTTTTAATTTAAAAAATACCTTCATTAGCATAGTTTTCAAATTTGTAAACAAGTTTTATATTAAAAGCAATACCTTGTTGAATATTAAAATGCTGAGATACTTAAAAGAACTCAAAAGTTATGCAATATATATCATAAAAACATTATATATATATAAATGTATCTTCAGTACATCAAGGCAAGTTTAAAACATTAACAATTTTATTAAAATATCCATTTTATTTGATAATAATAAAAATAATTGATTCTAGGAGTCAATTATTTTTTCTGAGAAAAAAATAATTGTTTACTGGAGTCAGTAGTCATTCTACTAAATTGTTTCTATTTAATGTATTAGAACAGATAAATGTATTTTGTCTAAGTGGGAACTATTTAAATATTAAATAAATATTTTCAACCTTAATTGTATTCCACAGTCTATGGGGGCATTGAGAATAATAAGTACCATAAAGTGTAAAGATTGGGGGACAAGAAAAGCTCTAAAATATATTAGGTAATTTGTTTGTATTAATTAACCTATTTGCTATTTTTGAAAAATTATTGTCAGCTTAGATCTACTACAGATGATTATGTCTGTTACTAAATAAAGTAAATTTAGCCTATTCATCAACATGTAAATACCTATATCAAATAAGACAAATAGGCCGAGCGCGGTGGCTCACGTCTGTAATCCCAGCACTTTGGGAGGCTGAGGCAGACGGATCACGAGGTCAGCAGATCGAGACCATCCTGGCTAACACGGTGAAACCCCGTCTCTACTAAAAATACAAAAAATTAGCCAGGCATGGTGGCGGGCACCTGTAGTCCCAGCTACTCGGGAGGCTGAGGCAGGAGAATGCCGTGAACCCGGGAGGCAGAGCTTGCCGTGAGCCGAGATTGCGCCACTGCACTTCAGCCTGGGTGACAGAGCGAGACTCTGCCTCAAAAAAAAAAAAAAAAAAAAAAAAAAAACAAATAATTCCAGCTGTCATTTCAATTGAATTTTCCATAAGAGGTTCAATTTTTTCTTGAGACTTTTTAACAGTATCCACAATTTCAGACAAGCTCACATGAGTTTGTTTTTTCAGGTAGTTTTAACAGTGTGATAAGATGGTTTACTGCCCTAGAGGGAAAAGGTGTCAATGTGTTATCAGTTGGTATGTTCTGGGCCTTTGGTATATATAGAAAGTCTGGCATTTTAGTAACTCTACCTAGGATAATATACATTGATAACATCTATTTAAGAATAAGAAATTCATTAGCTAGCCCTACCTTCAGATGATATTTTATTCATATTTTTATTTCTTTTCACACAGTATTTCTTTATAAATCTCTGCTTCTACTTCTTAAGTATTTGTATATTGGTAGAAACTCACTTTATCTTAATAATTATAATACTTTAATGTATTTAGAATATTGTATATCATATGTAATACTTAGGATACTGTACATATTTTAACAAATAAGGAGTGAATACTGAAATTAAACTGTAGATTGACTAAATGAACCACTGTTATAGAGCTTCGGAGATACAGAGGAGCTCCCACCAAATCCTAAAATTTTTCTCTACTTTAAATACTCTATCATGGAACTATTCGATTTGATGGGACATAAATCTTTTTATCGTAATGTCATCCTGGATAAAAACATGCACACATGCACACACATAAAAACAAGCAAACAAAAAACCAAGTAATACTACACTCTTTGATTCATACCTGTGCACCAAAGGCTCAAGCGTAGATGTAGGAGGAAAAAAAAAACAAAAAACTGATCCCTCTACTTCCAGTCACTTCTGCCCCAACTTCAAAGAACTCAAACTCAAACCACTAGTTCTATTTGTTCGTTTGTTTTCTGTGGCTGAGTTCTTACTCAAAATGTTCTACTTAAGCCTCTCCTTGGGGGACTGTCTCCAAGCTACATTGAGGACAGAGTCTATAGCTAGATTGCCTAAGGTACAAATTTCTTGTAGAACCCAATACAGCTGCCAATTTGCTTTTGAGGGCAATCAAGATGTTCATTAGTAATTGAGTTGAAACAGAGAGGAACTTCATTTGTACTGAGTCAGTGACCTGGATCGTTTTCAGAATGAGTGTTGAGCTGAAATGGACCATTCATTTCTACTTCCATTGGGATCCTGTTCAAAAAGGTTATTGCTCTTACCTTCTTCCAACAACAGTGATAGGAATTTTCAGAAGCAAAAAACAAGGTTTTATGTTTGCCACTTGTATCTTAGGGCAACATTTATAATAATGGGATTTTTAATCAATCTTAGAGCATAAAATAAACCCTATCATTTTAGACTGACCTGTTGGACTAATTTCAATGACTTTAGCTGGTAGGTAATTGAAATAGGATGACAGTACACTGGGGTGAATAAGAGGTTTCAAAAATAGACAAAGATAACAATTAGACATATTTGGAGCATCAACAGAAGTTAGTATAAAATTACAGGAATTTTAGAAATTAATAAAGAGGTCTTATTTATTTAATATTGAAATAATACCATTTAAATAATTTTAACAGCAAAGGTCAATATAAGGCATGCTATCACCAAGCACTATTCTAAGAGCTTTATATACCTCTTGTTACTTGCAACTACCGTGTTTTACAAATAAAAAAAACTGGAGATTACAGAGGTTAAGTGACTTAAGTAGCTTACCCAAGATCACAAGAGCAGTATATAATGGAGTTGGTATTCAAACCCTTATAGTCTGGCTCCAGAGTCCATGCTCTCATCCCCTCTACTATTACCAGTCTCAATGACTGGCAAAATAAGCCATCAGCATTATATTGCCTTCAGATTCTGAGTAGTTCTCTAGAGAATGAATGAGTCATAAGGGATGAGGATGCTTGGCTGAATAGTTTTGCCCCCATTATTAGAGGGTAAGAGCAATTTTAGAATTTCATAGTGTTCAATCTCCAGCGAATAGTTTTTATATAGGGAAACTGAACGAAGCAACTGAAAAAACTATTTTTACTCAAAATTTGTGCAAGAACTTGAGAGCACATGTTAACAAACCTTTGTAATCAGTTAGCAGAGCATGGCTCAGAGGATAAGTTTTTCTCCACACTTCTGGGGAGACTCCAGGGCCCTGGAGCAAGCATTTGAACGGAGGCCTTAATGGACTTAAGGGCAGAGCCAGCCCAGTAGCAGCAGCAGCCCTGTCACCAGGAAGACAGTCTAGCGTAGCAATTTAGCAGCAGTGGCAGCAACAGCTAAGTTAAGGAGGCATGTTTACCAGGCTTCCAAGTTTTGAAAGGTCTTAGAATCAGGCAAAAAAAAAAAGTGCCAAAAACTGGAAGTAAAAGGGCCATATGACATCCCAAAGTCCAGAAGTGCATGTAAAATGTGCACAGGTGATTCCCAGAATTAATTGAAAGGAAATTTACAGAGGCTGGAGGTCTCACACTTATGGGTGCATATGGACCAGATGAATACTGCTTGTTTATAAAGTTGTCGTCACACCTGGCTCCATTGTGGGTATAGGCTGAGAGACACAGATTATATATTCACCAACGAATTACTAGTATTCTTTCCCATACATCTTTTGGTTATGTTCATCATATTATATTTAACTTAAAAAAATGTGTTAAAATTCAATTTGACAAATAAAAAGTTCTGAAATTAAAAGAGAAAATTTTAATTTGATAGATGTCAGGTCTTAAGAAGGGATGATGAATGGAAGATTATATTCCCTTTTTTAGATTTTTTAGATTTTGCATTCTGCCATAAATTTCCCTGCAGTGAATGATTGGCAGACTAGAATAAGACATCAGGAAGAAGAGATATAATGAAAGTTTAATAGGCAGATTGCAGACCCAAACATAGCTGAGTCATCAGTGGGAATTTCCATTGGTTTCTCAGTCTCTTTTAAATATTAAATTAAGCTTCACTGTTAAGAGGACTCAGTACTGAAGATGGGAGACCTAGTTCTTAAAGCGAAAATCTCATCAAGATATAAGATCTGACCCTTTTGTATTATATCATTTTCAATTAAGGTTTTAATGCCCTCTTTTCATAATGGAATCTCTAATTTACTTTAAAAAATTGCTTTCACATGACTCATTATTTTACATGAATACCAGCATTGGTATGATAATAGTGTCAAAAATAAAGCACTATTCGTGATTTTTTTTTTCTGATGCAGGGTTGGAGGCTTTTCTAAAAAAAAAATTTTTATAGAAGAAGACTTAAATAATTACAGTTGAATTTAAGAACATTATCCATATGAATTATTTCTAACAAAGAATATCCGCATGTGAAAAGTGGCGGGTATCCTGTATTTCTAGCTACATTTACTCAGTGTTTTAATGTCAGTTAAAATGCTATCCCAGTCAAAACAGCTCCTATACATGTAAAATTATGGTTATTTCTCAAATTATACCATTTTAAAGTGAAACCACATTGAAATGATATTATTTTGATATGCCAGCAGATACATGTAGTCACCCAAAGAAGTTTTATATTACAGGTGCTTGAAGTCAGAAAAAGGAGCCTTTTTTATAATTTCATAATGAGAAAAAAAGGAAGTCAGAGAGGTACGATTTAATTCAAATATACATTTGTGTATTAGAAATGATTATGGAGTAAATGCCTTATCTTATTATTTTGATTGAATCTTCTGTAAAGAAATATGAGAAATACTCTCTATCAAATGGAGCAGTAGTCGCGTATCTGCCTCCCTCCCCCACAACATGTGAGTAAAAAGTTTAAAAATATATTTTAAGAATCAAAGTTTAAAATTATAAATATGTCAAAAATTGTGACAGTCTGAGATCTTATATGACTTGCAATCTACCAAGTTAGCCTGCCACAGTTTCATAGATGCTAACAGAAGACTCAAGACTCCTGGGTCAGAAACAAGAGTTTATTATGCATAGCACAGGCAGCATGAGCCTTATGTTTTCACCAGTTCCCCTTGTCTCCAGAGCCCATGCAGATAATACAAAGACAGGCCCAGATGGATCCTGCTCACAGAGGGCATTTAGAAAGCCCCCAATCTTACACTGAGACTGTTAGAAAACCTGCCCAAACACTGCCCCAGAGGGAGATATTATCTCTCTTATCCACAGGGGGAAAAAAAAAGCAAAAAACTGACCTCGCACCTGAAGAAAGGTACTACTATCTCCCAAGTGTGTTGGCTTTACAAACATCCTTGAAAAGAGTCCAGGATGAAAGTTGTCCCCAGATATGCAGAAATGAAATGGAGAATTGCATCCCAACAAAATGTAGTAGTCAATCCTCATTATTCACGATTCTGCATCTGAGAATTGGCTTACTCACTGAAAGTAATTTGTAACCTCCAAATCAGTTCTTGCATTGTTTTCATGGTCATTTGCAGAAATGCACAGAGTGGTGAAAATTTGAGTTTGCTCGATGCTTAAGTTTCCAGCTGAGGTCAAACAAGGTGATATTCTATCATCTTGTTTTAGCTCTCATGCAGTAAACAAGTATCCTTTTTTCAGTGTCATGTTTTTTGCATTTTCGTGCTTTCTTTAGTTGGTGACTTTGCTTTTTAAAATGACACTGAACGGTGCTGAAGTGCTGTCTGATACTCCTAAGTGCAAGAAGGCTGTGGTGTGTCTTATGGAGAAAATATGTGTGTTCAATAAGCTCATTCGCACTTGAATTATAGTGCTGTTGCCATGAGCTTAATGTTTGTGCATCCACAATATATATTAAATAAGCCTTCTATAAACAGAAACATGCATAAAACAAGTTTACGGGTTAATCTGTTGATGAAAATGTAGTGACCGAAGCCTCACAGAAACCTAACCCTGAATTTCTTGTAGGAACAATGATTGAATATCAGTGAATTCAGTGTTTGCAGTGATTTTATGGACTATCACTACCATGAATAATGATAATCAGCTGTGTAGTCGGCACAAATGGCAGCACCCTTGCTTCCACTCTGGCTCTCTTACAGTGTCATCAACAAAACAACAAGAGTGGTTCTTATTATATAAACCGTAAGTGAGATCATGGCTCGGTTCTCCTCAGAGCTCTTCTGTGACTTTCCCTCTAACTCAGAATCAAAGGCAAAGTTATCCCAATGGTCCTACAGCATGTGGGCTCCCCGCCTTGCCAGCTCTTTCCCTGTGGCTCCTGACATCACTTCTTCCATTCCCCCCAACCCTTGCTCATTCTGTTCCAGCTACCTGGCTTCCCTGAGGTTTATGGAACATCCCAGGCAGCTTCCTGCCTCAAGACCGCCTTACTTACTTCTGCCTAAAAAGCTCTTGGATTTTTTTTTTCCAAATATCTAAATGGCTTACTCCTGCATTGCTTTCAGGTGTTTGCTAAAATGTCACCGTCTCACTGCGGCCGTCACTGACCAACCTACTTAAAGGCACACGCCCATCCCTGCCAACTCTGGTTCTCTTCATCCCTCTTTCTGCTTTGTTGTTCTCTATGGCACCACCACCACCTGGCACACTATAAATATTATGTTTACCTGTGTCCTTCCCATAATATGCAGAAATATTATGCAAATATTATGCAAACAATAGTCTGTTTTATTCACTGTGGTATGCCCAGTACCTAAAACAGTGCCTAAAAGTTTTTGAAATTTTCAGTGACTTTTTTTTGCAATAGAGTAAGCTCTATCTTGATCTGCTTCTAAAGACAGCACCAGAGAACATTTCTCTGAAACATAAATAAACGTAGAGACACAGCTCAAAACTCTTGATCAGACTCAGTAAAGCTAGAAAGCTAATTGGAAAAAGGTAGCAGGGTGTTTTCAAGCTGTCTTGAAAAGAGATGAGTGGTGAATCTCTTCATTTTTAAATTGGGAGCAATGTTTGTAGTAGCATGAGAGTTTATATTAGGCTATCAAAATAAAAAAATGACTTAAACCCTATTAACTCAGAAAAATGTTGTCTCTGTAATTTCTTTGTCTAATAGTACCAGATCAAACTAATCCCTCATGAAGGAAGAAGAGTGCTTTTCCTTGAGAAAACAAAACAATTAGATTCTAGCTAAACTGCCCACAAAACACGAAATGTTTCATTTAACTAAGTGAGAAGACATAGCTTGTTTAAATCCTAAATAAAGAAGCAGTCTCCATTAATGGAAGGCAAGTCCCTTACAAGCATGTTTCTCTCTGCACCTAAACAGGTATCAAGCGAACTCATTGTGCTTCCTCATATTGCCACAGAGAGACACAGATAAATGGAACAAATGCCAGGCAAACTTTGAAACGGTTTGATTTGATGTTAACTCTAATTCTGAGTTTTACCATCAGTGGTTCTCTCATGCTATCATAACCCAAATTTCTCTAGGCCTTGCCAATTGAGGAATGCAAACAAGGCCATATCATCATCAATGAGAACTTCAAATTCACTGCTTCATGTCCCACAGCAGAACATAGTGCCTACAGCCTCCCTTCAGTGATTCATACAGTTATGGAGGTATTTTGAGTGCTCATGAAGAGTCCTCTTAAGATTTCTCATCTAATAATGTGTCCCCCAAAACCATTTGAGAGTCACATTTTGGCTGCCCAGGCTCAACTATAACAATGCACAGCCACACCAACGGTGCAAACCTTTGGGAGCTGAAGCAGAGCCAGTTTCCCCACAGTACTCACTGTGTGTCCAAAATACATATGTATGTATTATGTGTGTGTATGTGTGTGTGTCTGTGTGTGTTTGTGTATAAATAGAATATGACCCCAGAGTAAGAGGGTTACTGTAATATGAAGGAGGTAGCGGACAGTGTAGGCTCTAAGGATCAGGCAGTGCTTCATGAAGGAAGGAGCATTTACGTAAACCTCAGTCTATGGGCCAGATATACATATCATCAGTGTTATTATGGAATTTTTGGCTAGAAAAACGTTTCTTCCAGTTTTTCTGATTCCTATATTTCAAGAAGGCAATCTCTAAAACTTTGAGTGTATTAGTGAATTCACATGAAAAACTTATCATATAAAAAGTAGTTACCCAGGGTATCTCAGTGAGAAAATGTGGGAGATTGCTTTAGTGTATGCTATGTGGGATCATCTTTCTCATACATCACCTGGCTTAAACATTATTTTTTTCAAACGTATTCGGATTTTATGGAACCTGGATTCTAGTGCTACAAAGGACAATATAAGATAAGGGAGAAAATGAGTGGAATGAGTTGTGGATCAGGACTTAATAATGTATATACAGTGGTCAAGGATAAACTCTCTAATATGTGAGCAGAAACCTGAACAGGTGAAGGAGCAAGCCATGCAGATGCCTGCAAAAGAGCATTTCACACAAAGGGAACAGCAGTGCAAAGGCCCTGAGGTAGAAGCACGATTTCATACTCAAGGAACAGTAAGCAGGCAGAGAGCAGAGAGGGAGGGTCACAGGAGTGGAAGTCAAAGAGGTGGCCCAGGGCCAGATCATTTACAACTTTAATAGCCAGTGCCAGGGCTTTGCTTTAGAGTGAGTAGGAAGGCACTACAAAGTTTTGAGCAGAGAAATGGTGCTATCTGAATGAAGGTTTAAAAGGATCACAGCAGATGCTCTGTTATGGTAAACTGTAGTGGACAAAGTGGAAGCAGACAGTTTCATGTGATATATGGCAATGACTTGGACCATAAGGGCAGCAATGTGAAGTATGTGAAGTGGTCTGATTCTGAATAGCTGAGACAGAATTTGCTAACATGTTGGATGTGGAGTCTGAAAGAGAAGAGCCAAGTATGACTCCAAGTTTCTTGGTTTGAACAACTAGAAGGGTAGAGCTGTCATCTAATGAGATAAGAGGCCTACAGGAAGAATATTTTGGGGTGGGTAGGGACGTGAAAATTGGGAGATCAATTCTGGACGTGGGACGTTTGAAGCTGTGGAGTATACATAATTTCAGCTGGACCTGCCTTTGCTTTGCCGTTTATTAGCTGTGAGATCTTGGGCATTAACTCAGCACTTCTGAGACTCAACTTTCTTATCTGTATTATGAGGATGATAGAACCTAATGTGTAAGTTAGAGTTGTGAGAATTCAACAAAAGAAGAGGTATAATGTACCTAAAACACAGATTTTAAGAGAAAGTAAAATGAAACAAAATCAAGTATTAAGTAAGTGATTAGTAATTTGTGTTTATCAAAATCATCATGACAGTAGGTGTGGGGTTTCTTATAACAGTAGAAGAATTACTTTTAGGAAAATTTCTATGACTGTGGTTTAATGAAATGAATTCTAATTAAACACTTAAGAAAGGGGATCCCCATTGCATACCATCCAGTTTCAACTTGTCTTTTATTTTTAATTCCTTTTCTGGGTTTACTATGGTCAGTATTCTCTGCTCTTCCATAGGTATGTCAGTTGTTTTCTCATCACTTGGCAAGAAAGCTAAATCTTCAGTCAGTTTGGTAGAGATTTCTGTACAAAGCAATAAATGCACTCTTGGCTTTATTCCTTTGCAATTTATATAGTCCCTCAGATGGTCAAGTTATCAAGATATTATTCTGATGTATTTGTCTCATGTTGTTCTCCAAAATTACTAATTCATACTCTCCTTCCTTAAACCTCTTGTTTACTGTTAAATAAAGTTTTGTTTTATGTGGGGTAGTGTTTTTACTTCATTCATCCTGCCTACATTCAGCTCATTTTAAGATGTGTCTTTTATATGCATTTGTCTTCCATTTTCTTTACAAAGCTGGTTCACACAAAACAGTCAAAACTGCTTCACTTCCAGTGTGCTCCATCACCTCAAAATCTGCTATTTTGTTTGTACACTTCGCACCTGAGTTAGGTGCTGATGATGTGCTTTAAAAGCCAATTTTGACTGCTCTAAATGCTATAAGTTGACATTCATTAAGTTGCTTGGATATACCAAATTTTCTGTATCTTCTTAGAAGTCTCTCCTCTTAAATTTCCGGCTTCATTTGCCATGATGGTTACATTTGTTCTACCTAACACCCTTTGTTTGTGTTACATTCTATGTTCCTGAA
This sequence comes from Homo sapiens, assembly GCF_000001405.40. NCBI lineage: Eukaryota > Metazoa > Chordata > Mammalia > Primates > Hominidae > Homo > Homo sapiens. Next base: position 93,665,808 of record NC_000004.12, read on the forward strand.
CAGAAAAACCCTGACATGTCACTGTGTGTTTTACTATTTATACTTCCTTCCTGAAATATCTCTTTCCCTCACCCATATGAAACCTTACTCAGTTTTCAAGATTTGGTTCTAATATTACGTCTTCCTGGAAGTCACTTCATTCTGCATTTATTCATCCCCACTTTTCTTATCAGAATCGGTTGAGTAGTAGAGCACTTATATGCATATCTTCAACTGACCACAAGCCCCTGAAGGGAAGGTACAATAACTGGTTTAGGTTTTATTTCCCAAAATGTCTTGAATGTAATAGATGATCAGTAAATGTCTATTGAAATAGTATGCTTCTTTTAAAAGTATGACCTTTTAGTTTTTATCTGCTATGTCTTCATTGTCAGCACTGTTCTGGCATAACAATCCATGCTAGTTTTATTGTGCTAAACACAATTTTATTAATTCAACAAATTTGAGCACCTTATATATTATATATAAGCACCTTTTATTGAATTTGGTCCTGAGAATGCAGCATATGCATAATCCCTTCCCTAGAGGAACTCACAAAATGAAAGAAAAAACTGGCAAGTAAATAATATTCTATATGATAAATGCTACGGTAGTGATATTTTTCAGAGAGGTATTTAAGCATCTAAAGAGTTTCAGAGGAAGATGGGGTTTGGCATGTCATTATGTTAGATTTGGGCGATTTGAAGAGTGCAATAATTATTATAAGCACCTGGAACAGTGCCTTCCTGTGGAAGCCATTCTATAAACACTGTTGAATTAATTACATGGTGGCACTTAGAATGTAGGTTCAGAGGACAGTAAGAGGATATAGCTAAAGGTAAGGCACTTTAAGTGGATCATGGTGTTGATATGGTTTTTCTGCTTTATTGTTGACCTAAGCTTTCAGTCACTTATATCCTCATTTGAGAAGTCTCTGGATCTTACATGAATATGAAAATGAAAAAATAAGACTAAGTAGCTTCTCAGATAATTAGGATGAATTCATAACAACAGTTCCCAGAATCTTCCTTAAGAAAGACACAACTACTTTAGAAAATGAACCTACAACATTAATGTAAGAAAGAAGGAAAAAACAAAATCTTTATAAAATTCTTTTTAAATATTACAACACTCCTTCAAATGATTGTCAAATTTCAGGTTGGTATCGGGTGCTCTAATTTTATTTGTAATGAAATAGAACCTTTTTATTTATCAGTCAGTAATTATTAATTGTACAAACATCTATTGAAAACATACTATGTGATGACTTCTTTACTAGGATCTAGAGATAAAAAGACAAATAAATTGGCTTTTGCCTTCACTTAGCATATTCCAACTGATTGAAAAGAGAAATAAATAAGACAATTCAGTATATCACAGTTAGAGTTAAGTCAGAGGTGTGCATGGATTTTTGAGAACAGAAAAGAGGATCTAAACTAGACTGGGAAACAAAAGGGAAGGCTTTTTGAAAGAAATGGTGTGCTTAAATGGGGTGATTTTAAAGGACAAAGACAGACTAGCATGGCATAATTACTAGGTAGAAGAATCCTCTAACCAAGTACATCCAGGTATCCAATATATCTGTTAGATTCTCTCTCTCTCTTTTTTTTTTTTCCAAAAATCTGTGCTCTTCATGGCCTTAGTGATAACCAGGAGGTACCACCTATGGAGAAGACTTATCTTTACTGCCTTTGAAAAAGCATAATTCTACCATGAAGTGTCATTGATGGGCTTAAATTATCAAAAGAGAGGTCTGCAGATGGGTTTCATGGAGAGCAGTGGCTTCAGTTGTCAAGAGTCCCAGGATATACCATCCTGTCTGTCACCAAGATGCTGAAAATATATCACTGTTACTTCCATTTGCTGAAAATGAAAGTAGCACTCTTTACCAAAGTTTAGGTGAACATACTGATTAATATTTTAGCCATAAGATTTATAAAGTAACATCCCCATATAAATATTATAGGAGTGTTTATCCTGTGAAAAAGATGAGATCAAGGAACTGGATTTATTAAGCCACATAACGATTTTTTCTTTTGTTCAAATTCGCCATGTGAAACAAGATTTAACGTAATGCAGTGTAGGATCAGCATAGTGCCTTGAGATGGACTCCAAATATTTCTAATAAGAAATTTAAAAGAAGTGGCATATTATGGAACTAGTATTTCTTTTCAAGATTATCAAATGTAATGATGTTTTTCACCTTTACTATATTTAAGATGTTTCTGTAAACTTTGAGTGATTAAAAGACTAGCATTTTTCTCCTTATCTTCATACAAACCTGAGACACAATGACTTGTTATGCATTAGCTATGGCCAACAATAGCTTAGTAATATTTTAGTTTTCTGTTACTGTCAGATAATTTTTATAATTTTTTATATACCTAAAGCTTTTCACTCAAGCATTACACATTTCTCTGTCTTTATAAACAGAGTATTTTAATCCCAAATAATCACTATGAAAAAGCATTATTTTAATGTGCTTTAAGACTATGATACCATGAGAGATTACTGAAATGTATATAACCGTTTTCTCCTACACTCAATGAACTTTGAGTTCTGTTATCTGATTTTCATAGTTGTTCTCTTTTTTTTTGCATTCAGACTGTTTGCCCTTACTTTTTATAATTCCTATTGCTACCTCCCCTTTCAACATTTCCATCTGTAATATGCTATTTCAAATGCAATTTATTTCAGCAAATATGCATTGAGGTTATACAATGTGTTAGTCACATTGTATATGTGTATATGCTAGGGATTCAGAGATAAATGAAACATGGTCTTAGCCTTCAAAGAGTTGTCAGGTGAGAAAGAAGTAGAGATATAAACAAGTAATTACAATTTGTGTGTGCTAATTGCAATTATTAGGATTTTATTCTCCGGAAAATGTGGCTTGTGTTCCTGGATTTTGGCAAGGTAGGATGGGCCAGGACAGGACTTAAAAGGGCTCAGCATCAATGGATAATGGAAGAATTTAAAGCAGAGAGTTTTGAAGTAAATCTTAAAGGTGCATGGGAGTGAATTTCCTGTGGAGAAAGATATGTGCTATAAAATTTAACAAATATTTTGTAAAAAATGTGTCTAAAATAAGAACAAATTACTCACAGTTAGACTGAAGATACTATCCCAGTTATGAGCTTTGGATAGTTACTTCGTGGCATCAGTTTTGACCATTTGGGGTTTTATTTTGCTAACATTATGTTTTATAGTAGGTACAAAATAGTTTGGCATGCTTAGTAAGTGATATCTCATGAGTGAAATGTTGATGCATTTACTATGAGAATTTGTAATAAGAGACTGCATTTTATTATAGTACATCAGGTTTTATTGACACTACCTTTCCACTATCAGTATTTTCTAATGAGAAAATAATTCAAAAATAGTATTAGACATACAGGAAGCCTCTGAGTTAATGTGGGGTCATGTTTCTAAATATACTTTCTATATGAGACAATTTGTGTTTATGATGGAATTGCATGTCTGTACCTTATAATCATGCATAGAAAATATGTCCTTAGGCATTAAATAATCAACCTACAAGAAATTTCTGGTGGCAAACATATGTGTTACCTTTTCATATTTAAAATACCATTCTTAGCATAATGCACAGTACAAAAATATATATTGGCCATTTTATTATTATTATCATTTAAAATGATATGCTACCAGACTTATTTTGGAACCCTGCTGAAATTCCTACATGTACAGAAAAAAAATTTAGTGATATACTGAAGTTAACTAATGTCAGTAAAGCGAAAAACTAATGAAACTCACTGTAATATATTCAGTCTTTGAACTATCTGAATTTCAATTTAACCTCAAGATTAGACTTTGTATGTGTCTCCCCATTCCCTTGCATAATATTCACGCAACACACTCCAAACACATATCTTTTATTTCATGTAGCAATTTTCAAAGAGATGGATGGGGGAACTGCACATCAGTTTCTCCAGACAGTATATAGGTACAGTTTGAAAAAGTCAGTCCTCAAAATTTTTCTTTCTACTCTACATTCCTCTCACTGGGCTCCAACCCACCCTGCACCTTCTCTCTCACACATGAATACAAGAAAAATCATTACTACAAAATTTGAAGATGATCTGGACCTGGACGTTTTTCAGAGCACCACTTGCTAATCAGCTTTTGTGGCTGTTTTAAAATTCCAATGCTATACCCTTGAAATACCTAACTTCTAACAGTATAACTTCTTGATGAACTTCCCAGGATAAATTAGTGGCAAAATGTGACCCTAGGGATTATGTATGTGTAGGAGCATATAAAGTCTACACATAGATACTAGTAAAGTATGGCAAAAAGCATAATTTTTCACTTTTACAGCAGTTATATCTTAAAGGATTCTTTCTTTGCACTAGGTACAGTTTAGAACAATTGTTTATTGGAACGAATGATAATATGGTTTTTTACATCTTTTCATTCATATCTGTTCATGTCAAAGATCATTTCTATGCACCCTGAAACTCAAGGTGCAGTAAGCTAAACTTAAGAAAACTGAAATCCTGTAATAAATTTATATCTCTTGGGATATAATTGCTTCCTATCCAATAACAAAGACCCAAGAGAAAGAAGCAAAAGTCATATTTTTTTCTAATATACTGATAAAGAGAATAGCAACCATGACCAAATAGAAATCATCACCAAAGCCTATTCACATCTCATACAAGATCTTGACATTTTAACTTGGATTTATAAGCCTAGATTTAGATATACCTACATCAATGATTTATCAAAACAAAACTTTGAATGTCTCGAAGCTGAATTACTTGCCTATGGAATAAATGGGCTACACTGATACTTTCACACAGTGTTTAGAGGGGTCCTACGGTGCATCAGTGTCTGCCCCTAGAGGTAAGGGGAAGGCTGACTACTTTGAGTTCTAGGCAAGTAGCCTAGGCATTTCATCCCCTTGTTTCTTCCAAAACAAATCTAGTTGTCTTTGTTAGTGACATGGTTGTTTTCCACATAGATTTATTTTAAAAAAGAACCCACTACTAATCTCATTTGAAAATCACTGAGTCCATCCAGTGGGACCATGCCACAAGAGCAAACACTGTAAACAAATTAGCAAGAATCTGATTCTTTCGGGAAGACCAGACTTTGATGAAGGCAGCCCAGTGTGCGTTTGCTTTATGATCAAACATTCTATATGTGTACATAGGACTATATCAGTATCAGGTTCTGAGATGGGTCAATAAGACAGGAATAGTTAGTTTGGGTTTGTTTCTACTTTTGCCATAGAAACGTGGGGAGGGGGAATCAAAGTAGCTAAGCAATACACCCCAAATTTGAAACTGTCCTATTTTAATAGAGAAGATCCTAAGACTGCTGGAAAAGGGTCTGACAGAACCAGTTTCAGAGTGCCTCGTCATGTTTCGCTGTGGCAGAAAGCACTCTGAGCAGAGTGACGTTCTAAAATACTATGCACTAAAGAGAAGGGTTTGATGCAAACTTTTGACCTAGGCCCTTGGTGTAAATGGAGGGATTTCCCTTAATCATTTCAGCCTGAGAAAGTTAAGTAAGTGTTACCCAAAAGGGTTTTTTCCCCATTTTGAGCATTCAAAAGTCTTGGGACATGAGCACTGCATTGACTGTCTGGTATAGAAGCCTGTTGCAAACTTGATCAGCCCCTGCCCAGGTACAATGGAAGGGATCCCACACTGGGAGTACCTGGGTGTGAGCTCTGCCACTGCTTTATACTAATTGTGAGGCCTTAGTACATCATTTAGCCCCTCTACAACTCAGTTTCCCCGTCTATGAAATTATGGTGATAATTTCTATCTACCTCACAGGGATGTTTGTCAAAAGTCAATGAGATTAGAAACATGAAAGTTAAATGTAAGTAGAACAACACTATATATATTATCACTTATTAAAATGAACCAGGTTGGGCGCAGTGGCTCACACATGTAATCCCAAAACTTTGGGAGACTGAGGTGGGTGGATCATTTGAGGTCAGGAGTTCAAGACTGGCCTGACCAACATGCTGAAACCCTGTCTCTACCAAAAATACAAAAAAAAAAATTTTGCCAGGCATGGTGGCATATGACTGTAGTCCCAGATACTTGGAGGCTGAGGCAGGAGAATTGCCTGAACCCAGGAGGCAGAGGTTGCAGTGAGCCAACATCCCGCCACTGCACTCCAGCCTGGGTGACAGAGCAAGACTCTGTCTCAAAAAATAATAATGATAAAATAAAAAAATATAATAAACCAGAGCATTCTTAAACACAAGCAATGAAGGTATCTGTTCTACATCCTGCTATTTCAAGTCCCCTTTCTGACCTTCTTTTTGCTGCTCCCCTCACTACCAGTTGAGGAGTTTATAGAGTCAAGGGGATAGATCCAGCAGGAGCCTGTGCCCCTCTTCTAGATCATTCCCCAGGTGTCCAGACCCCATAATTCCCTGCTCAAACTCCCCTGACCCCATTTTCTGGGCCAATGGATCACTTGTCCCCATTACATTCTCCAAGGGGGAACCCCCCCACCACAGATGTAACTCCATACATCCAAGGGTGGCCAAGGGAATAGCTGTTTGTGGGGGTGTCGATGGAGTGTGGACATGTACAGCATGTCACGTGCATGTGGGCAAGAACCCCCATGGGCAGAAAAGAGCTAAAAGTGGAAAGAAAAGGATATCATGCAGCTACAATTCAAAAATGTATTTTACTTTAAAATTTGATAGTTTGACTTAAATATTTAGAAACGTGGCATGCCAGCTTCCATTTGTACTTTCACCCTGTGCTACACAAATATTAACTGTTTCACATTTGCCATCATTGATCATTCTGTGCAATTATAATTTATTCCCACAATTTTTTTCTAATTTTAGGACTAATTGTTGTTGAATATTTTACCCTAGAGAGGAAAATAAACTTTTGTCTGAGCAAAATCCCAACCATTTCTTCATGATTATGCCACCTGCTTTGTTTTTGCTTATACCACAGCCATCTAACCAATTTGTAGATATCCTATCTTTTATACCAGGACAGTGTTGCCTGATGGGCACAATCCTCTTCTCACATCAGTTTGGAAAATAAAAACATTATAATCTCTTTTTTTCCTTTGGTATCCAAAGATAAGCCCTTTAAAAAAGTTGAATGTAAAAGGATGATAAGGAGATTACATAGTTTAAGCTTTATACTCAAAATCATTTTATATTGAATCTCTGTAATGATTTTGTGTAATATCTTTAAATAGCATAGAATACTATTTATCAGCGGTAGAACCAATTTAAATTACTTTCAGCCCTGATGAGAAATGGGAAGAGACTGAAGTACACTACACATTGGCATTTGTACAGTTGGCAGCTGGGCAAATAGCAGCAACATCCACCTACTTATATTAATTATCTAGGTTATTACAGTAGAGATTAAACAGAGCAGGTAAGTCAGGTAATTAGCTTCTTTATAAAAATTGAGACTACCCCTTTTATTCTTCACTGCTTCCCTAAATCAGGAAGCACTTTATGTATTACAAGCATCTAAAGAAAGTGGAAAAATCTACTGTAAACATTTTATGTTTTAAAAAAATTATTTTAATTTTTCATCTTTGATTTAAAAGATTGTATCAAAACTTTAAATATCTTCCCATCTCAGTGCAAAATAATGCAAAAAAGACAATTATTGCCATGGCCTACATTTGTACAGGGCCTTTTTCTTCCAGTATTTTCCTTTTATATCTATTTTCTCATGTTTGCATCATGACAATCTTACATGTTAAAAAATGTAACACAAACATCTTACAATCACTTTTTTTCACAAGACATTATTTTTCTTTTATTCATCATTTATTGACAATTGAAACATTCCAAATGATTCTAATGAATGTAGACAGATCTTTCCTTGTCCTAATCCCTAAGCTGTCCTTTAAACAAGAGCCAGACATACATGAAACAAGCCATTGACTTTCGATTGAAAATAACCTTAGACATTCTAATCTTTTATTAAGCACTGTCCCCAGGGGTTGTAAACTCAAATGCCTTCAAGGAGTGACAGTTAACAAAACTTATGATGCGCACCATAAATCAAACTTGATGTGTGATCATACTTCACATTTGCTTGGTTAGTTACATTGATTTTCAAACTCTCTGGGTAGTATGTTCCTCTCAGAGCACCAACTAGTGACCCCGCCCTCTCTAGTTCCCTCTTTTCTTCTTCACCTCCTTCTTCAACCCTGCTTTTTTTTTCAGACTCATGACTTTTGGCTTTATCTTCTTTTCTTGACCCCCACATTGCTCCTTTGACTCATGGCATATATGGCGTCTTCTGTTTTGAAGCTTTGGCTCTATCTTTCAGACAGTTTGCAAGTGCCCTCTGGCTACATCCTGTCATTGCTGCTAGGTGTTATACTCTGAAGTATAAAGTCAAAACAAATTATATCTACCTTAACTCTGGGCACTTCTGGTGGGTCTGCCCTGTGCCTCAGGTTCCTGTCCACTAATACTCGTGAGCGTGAGATAAGATCATCATTCTAGTTAAAAATCCATCACTACTATAAGTATTCAAGTTCATTTTTGGTTAATTATATTGAAGTGCCAGTCCATGTTTGAGTGCTGTATTTTTATGTATAGCTGTCAGGTACAATGCTGTGCAGTCTCTGGAATTAATCTATTATTTTCTTTAAAATAAATAAAAATAATGGGCACTAAATTTGTGTTTCAGACTTCAAACCCTCCTTCTGTAATCAATGATTAGTGTGAATGTATAAGCACTCATTAACATTTCATTCCCTGTTTTGATTTAAATTTTAACTCTCCCATTATGAATAATAAACAGAGTGTCTGATCACATTTGACCTTTTGAGGCATAACGGTGCTTTTTTTTTTTATTTCTTTAAATATCATAAGGCCCAATAGGTCACTTCCCTGTTAACTTTTCTTACATAAGAAATTTAATTATTTTAAGAGAAAAATCCAAATAATATCTCAGTAATCTTTTAAGAAATAAATATATTTTCTTTATTGCCAACAGAACATCTAAAAAGTGGACATTAAAAAAATGAGTTTGAAATTTGTTTGATTTTTCAACTGTACATTAAGTATATCTGCTATATAATGAAAGCTTTTTTCCTCCCCAAAGATTCTCAAAAAATGTGTTCCAGAAATACAGATAAATAAGTAAATGGATGGAAGAGGGGGGTATATTTCTATCAATTTATCATTATGTTTATTATTTCACATAAGACTTATCAAAGATATTCTTTGGTTATCTTTGATAAGTCTTGATTATAAGCCAATTATGACCAACCAAAAATGGTCCTATATATGTAAAGTATAACTAACAAAGTCAAATAAATTTATAATTAATTCATCAGCTCCTTAAAACATCTCACAAATAACGTGAACCTGTCATATATTGCGTGTGTGTGTCTGTGTGTGCATTTCTCCCTTACATCTCAAAGGTAATAAATTGGTTACAAAAAGAAATGAAGAGAAATGAAGTCTGGAGTAACTTGCCAAAGACCTTGACTTAAATAACTAAAATTATATCCACATTATCTAACAGTTTTTTTTAATAGATAGACTATCACATAAAATCATTTATAACATAATAGTAACTTGTGAGTAGTAGTTAAAAGTACATGATACTTTGATAGTGCATTTTCTATAAGTGTTTAATAAGAAAAGGTATCTGGTTCTTGTAATTATATTGATAGCTAAGATTTATTAAACACCTACTGCATATTAAACACTCTTCTAAGTGCTTATCATGTAGGATTTTGTATAATTTTCACAGCCATAGTCTGAAATAAGTACTATTGTGGAAAGGAAACTAAGAGAAGTTGAGTAACTTACCTGAGGTCACACACCAAATGAGTCAAGGTACTGCAGGCAAGATTGGCAGTGGATCCCGAGCTCACACATCTAACCACTTTGCTCTACTATCTCTTAAGAGCAGTGAAAGATTTAGGAGAGAAAGGGGAAAATGGCCTGTTTCTCTAACTTTATATTATGCATTATTTACTTACTAAGCTTCTGTTTTATTTTTGATCATAGAATATATATGTTATTTTTTCAAGGTTAAATTGCAAAGTAAAAGCATTATAGTGTAAGGAATAATAATGGCTTATACTTTCCACTCCAAAGAATTTCCTAAGCAGAGGTTGGAAACAATTTTCACGCGTCACTGAAAGATAGCTTCCTTCAACTGGATAATGTTAATGTTTATTGGCACTTAATAGCCTTAGACAGGACAGTATTTTGAAATTCAAGAGTAATTTGAGGTAACCAGAATATGAATACACCCGGGAAGAGTTGTCATATTTCAAAATAAAGCATTCAGTATGTTGCACAAAACAGTTCATCTGTATTGATTGCCACTAATGCTAGAACAGTTAGATAGACCAATGGAACTTTCACACTTGTGGCATGAAAATAGTTCTTGAAGACCTGTAACTTTGAACAAACTAATCCTCTATGTTCATTATCCATTTAATGTGGAGAAATGTTTTGGGTAAATTATTGTTGAAAGATTTAAAATTCTTAAATGTATGCTAAATGGAAATGTGAAAAAATTTATTAGCTTCAAGAACCAAATTAGGCCTCAAAGCAATGATCTTTCTAAAAATTCTAGATCATCCTGCATAAGAAGAAGATAGAGTAGCATAGCTTAGATAATTTAATGTGCATAAAGAAGAAAGTCCTGTGTCTTTATTGATGACACTGAAATTTGAATGACAAAGACATGGCAATCTGGCTTTACCCATTTTCCGTGGCTTCTGCTCACACATAAATGGCTGTAACCTCCACCCCCTTGTTATGGTTACAAATTATGGGATTGTGTAACATAATACAATGATAACTTAAGTTTAGCTTTTTACTTTGAAAATAAAAACACCTTCCTGTGTCCATGTGTTCTCATTGTTCAATTCCCACCTATGAATGAGAACATTGTGCACATATACCCTAAAACTTAAAATATAATAATAATGAAATTAAAAAAAAAAGATATTACAAAAAAAAAAAAAAGAAAGAAAATAAAAACACCTGAGAGTTTCCGCAAGATGGCTGAATAGGAACAGCCCCGGTCTACAGCTCCTAGTGTGAGCGATGCAGAAGACGGGTGATTTCTGCATTTCCATCTGAGGTACCGGGTTCATCTCACTAGGGAGTGCCAGACAGTGGGAGCAGGACAGTGGGTGCAGCGCTCCATGCACGAGCCGAAGCAGGACGAGGCATTGCCTCACTCGGGAAGCGCAAGGGGTCAGGGAATTCCCTTTCCTGGTCAAGGAAAGGGGTGACAGATGGCAGCTGGAAAATCGGGTCACTCCCACCCAAATACTGCGCTTTCCCTACGGGCTTAGGAAATGGCCCACCAGGAGATTATATCCCGCACCTGGCTCGGAGGGTCCTATGCCCACGGAGGCTCGCTGATTGCTAACACAGCAGTCTGAGATCAAACTGCAAGGTGGCAGTGAGGCTGGGGGAGGGGCGCCCGCCATTGCCCAGGCTCCCTTAGGTAAACAAAGCAGCTGGGAAGCTCGAACTGGGTGGAGCCCACCACAGCTCAAGGAGGCCTGCCTGCCTCTGTAGGCTCCACCTCTGGGGGCAGGGCACACACAAACAAAAAGACAGCAGTAACCTCTGCAGACTTAAATGTCCCTATCTGACAGCTTTGAAGAGAGCAGTGGTTCTCCCAGCACGCAGCTGGAGATCTGAGAACGGGCAGACTGCCTCCTCAAGTGGGTCCCTGACCCCTGACCCCCGAGCAGCCTAACTGGGAGGCACCCCCCAGTAGGGGCAGACTGACACCTCGCACGGCCGGGCACTCCTCTGAGACAAAACTTCCAGAGGAACCATCAGACAGCAGCATTCGCAGTTCATGAAAATCCGCGGTTCTGCAGACACCGCTGCTGATACCCAGGCAAACAGGGTCTGGAGTGGACCTCTAGCAAACTCCAACAGACCTGCAACAGAGGGTCCTGTCTGTTAGAAGGAAAACTAACAAACAGAAAGGACATCCACACCAAAAACCCATCTGTACATCACCAGCATCAAAGACCAAAAGTAGATAAAACCACAAAGATGGGGAAAAAACAAAGCAGAAAAACTAGAAACTGTAAAAAGCAGAGCGCCTCTCCTCCTCCAAAGGAATGCAGTTCCTCACCAGCAACGGAACAAAGCTGGATGGAGAATGACTTTGACGAGTTGAGAGAAGGCTTCAGACGATCAAACTACTCCGAGCTACAGGAGGAAATTCAAACCAAAGGCAAAGAAGTTGAAAACTTGGAAAAAATTTAGACGAATGGATAACTAGACTAACCAATACAGAGAAGTGCTTAAAGGAGCTGATGGAGCCGAAAGCCAAGGCTCGAGAACTGCATGAAGAATGTAGAAGCCTCAGGAGCCGACGCGATCAACTGGAAGAAAGGGTATCAGTGATGGAAGATGAAATGAATGAAATGAAGCAAGAAGGGAAGTTTAGAGAAAAAAGAATAAAAAGAAATGAACAAAGCCTCCAAGAAATATGGGAGTATGTGAAAAGACCAAATCTGCATCTGATTGGTGTACCTGAAAGTGACTGGGAGAATGGAACCAAGTTGGAAAACACTCTGCAGGATATTATCCAGGACAACTTCCCCAATCTAGCAAGGCAGGCCAACATTCAGATTCAGGAAATACAGAGAATGCCACAAAGCTACTCCTCGAGAAGAGCAACTCCAAGACACATAATTATCAGATTCACCAAAGTTGAACTGAAGGAAAAAATGTTAAGGGCAGCCAGAGAGAAAGGTCCGGTTACCCACAAAGGGAAGCCCATCAGACTAACAGCAGATCTCTCAGCAGAAACTCTACAAGCCAAAAGAGAGTGGGGGCCAATATTCAACATTCTTAAAGAAAAGAATTTTCAAACCAGAATTTCATATCCAGCCAAACTAAGCTTCATAAGTGAAGGATAAATAAAATACTTTACAGACAAGCAAGTGCTGAGAGATTTTGTCACCAACAGGCCTGCCCTAAAAGAGCTCCTGAAGGAAGCACTAAACATGGAAAGGAACAATCAGTACCAGCCGCTGCAAAATCATGCCAAAATGTAAAGACCATCGAGACTAGGAAGAAACTGCATCAACTAACAAGCAAAATAACCAGCTAACATCATAATGACAGGATCAAATTCACACATAACAATATTAACTTTAAATGTAAACGGACTGAATCCTCCAATTAAAAGACACAGACTGGCAAATTGGATAAAGAGTCAAGACCCATCAGTGTGCTGTATTCAGGAAACCCATCACACATGCAGAGACACACATAGGCTCAAAATAAAAGGATGGAGGAAGATCTACCAAGCAAATGGAAAATAAAAAAAGTCAGGGATTGCAATCCTAGTCTCTGATAAAACAGACTTTAAACCAACAAAAATCAAAAGAGACAAAGAAGGCCATTGCATAATGGTAAAGGGATCAATTCAACAGGAAGAGCTAACTATCCTAAATATATAGGCACCCAATACAGGAGCACCCAGATTCGTAAAGCAAGTCCTTAGTGACCTACAAAGAGACTTAGACTCCCACCCAATAATAATGGGAGGCTTTAACACCCCACTGTCAACATTAGACAGATCAACGAGACAGAAAGTTAACAAGGATACCCAGGAATTGAACTCAGCTCTGCACCAAGCAGACCTAATAGACATCTACAGAACTCTCCACCCCAAATCAACAGAATATACATTTTTTTCAGCACCACACCACACCTATTCCAAAACTGACCACATACTTGGAAGTAAAGCACTCCTCAGCAAATGTAAAAGAACAGAAATTATAACAAACTGTCTCTCAGACCACAGTGCAATCAAACTAGAACTCAGGATTAAGAAACTCACTCAAAACCGCTCAACTACATGGAAACTGACAGCCTGCTCCTGAATGACTACTGGGTACATAACAAAATGAAGGCAGAAATAAAGATGTTCTTGGAAACCAACGAGAACAAAGACACAACATACCAGAATCTCTGGGACACATTTAAAGCAGTGTGTAGAGGGAAATTTATAGCACTAAATGCCCACAAGAGAAAGCAGGAAAGATCCAAAATTGACACCCTAACATCACAATTAAAAGAACTAGAAAAGCAAGAGCAAACACATTCAAAAGCCAGAAGAAGGCAAGAAATAACTAAAATCAGAGCAGAACTGAAGGAAATAGAGACCAAAAAAACCTTTCAAAAAATTAATGAATCCAGGAGCTGGTTTTTTGAAAGGATCAACAAAATTGATAGACCGCTAGCAAGACTAATAAAGAAAAAAAGAGAGAAGAATCAAATAGATGCAATAAAAAATGATAAAGGGGATATCACTGCCAATCCCACAGGAATACAAACTACCATCAGAGAATACTATAAACACCTCTACACGAATAAACTAGAAAATCTAGAAGAAATGGATAAATTCCTTGACACATACACTCTCCCAAGACTAAACCAGGAAGAAGTTGAATCTCTGAATAGACCAGTAACAGAATCTGAAATTGTGGCAATAATCAATAGCTTACCAACCAAAAAGAGTCCAGGACCAGATGGATTCACAGCCGAATTCTACCAGAGGTACAAGGAGGAACTGGTACCATTCCTTCTGAAGCTATTCCAATCAATAGAAAAAGAGGGAATCCTCCCTAACTCATTTTATGAGGCCAGCATCATCCTGATACCAAAGCCTGGCAGAGACACAACCAAAAAAGAGAATTTTAGACCAATATCCTTGATGAACATTGATGCAAAAATCCTCAATAAAATACTGGCAAACCGAATCCAGCAGCACATCAAAAAGCTTATCCACCATGATCAAGTGGGCTTCATCCCTGGGATGCAAGACTGGTTCAATATACGCAAATCAATAAATGTAATCCAGCATATAAACAGAACCAAAGACAAAAACCACATGATTATCTCAATAGATGCAGAAAAGGCCTTTGACAAAATTCAACAACCCTTCATGCTAAAAACTCTCAATAAATTAGGTATTGATGGGACGTATCTCAAAATAATAAGAGCTATCTGTGACAAACCCCACAGCCAATATCATACTGAATGGGCAAAAACTGGAAGCATTCCCTTTGAAAACTGGCACAAGACAGGGATGCCCTCTCTCGCCACTCCTATTCAACATAGTGTTGGAAGTTCTGGCCAGGGCAATTAGGCAGGAGAAGGAAATATAAGGTATTCAATTAGGAAAAGAGGAAGTCCAATTGTCCCTGTTTGCAGATGACATGATTGTATATCTAGAAAACCCCATTGTCTCAGCCCAAAATCTCCTTAAGCTGATAAGCAACTTCAGCAAAGTCTCAGGATACAAAATCAGTGTACAAAAATCACAAGCATTCTTATACACCAATAACAGACAAACAGAGCGAAATCATGAGTGAACTCCCATTCACAATTGCTTCAAAGAGAATAAAATACCTAGGAATCCAACTTACAAGGGACGTGAAGGACCTCTTCAAGAAGAACTACAAACCACTGCTCAAGGAAATAAAAGAGGATACCAAGAAATGGAAGAACATTCCATACTCATGGGTAGGAAGAATCAATATCGTGAAAATGACCATACTACCCAAAGTAATTTAGAGATTCAATGCCATCCTCATCAAGCTACCAATGACTTTCTTCACAGAATTGGAAAAAAACTACTTTAAAGTTCATGTGGAACCAAAAAAGAGCCCGCATTGCCAAGTCAATCCTAAGCCAAAAGAACAAAGCTGGAGGCATCATGCTACCTGACTTCAAACTATACTACAAGGCTACAGTAACCAAAACAGCATGGTACTGGTACCAAAACAGAGATATAGATCAATGGAACAGAACAGAGCCCTCATAAGTAATACCACACATCTACAACTATCTGATCTTTGACAAACCTGACAAAAACAACCAATGGGGAAAGGATTCCCTATTTAATAAGTGGTGCTGGGAAAACTGGCTAGCCATATGTAGAAAGCTGAAACTGGATCCCTTCCTTACGTCTTATACAAAAATTAATTCAAGTTGGATTAAAGACTTACATGTTAGACCTAAAACCATAAAAACCCTAGAAGAAAACCTAGGCATTACCATTCAGGACATAGGCATGGGCAAGGACTTCATGTCTAAAACACCAAAAGCAATGGCAACAAAAGCCAAAATTGACGAATGGGATCTCATTAAACTAAAGAGCTTCTGCACAGCAAAAGAAACTACCATCAGAGTGAACAGGCAACCTACAAAATGGGAGAAAATTTTCACAACCTACTCATCTGACAAAGGGCTAATATCCAGAATCTACAATGAACTCAAACAAATTTACAAGAAAATAACAAACAACCCCATCAACAAGTGGGCAAAGGATATGAACAGACACTTCTCAAAAGAAGACATTTATGCAGCCAAAAGACACATGAAAAAATGCTCATCATCACTGGCCATCAGAGAAATGCAAATCAAAACCACAATGAGATACCATCTCACACCAGTTAGAATGGCAATCATTAAAAAGTCAGGAAACAACAGGTGCTGGAGAGGATGTGGAGAAATAGGAACACTTTTACACTGTTGGTGGGACTGTCAACTAGTTCAACCATTGTGGAAGTCAGTGTGGCGATTCCTCAGGGATCTAGAACTGGAAATACCATTTGACCCAGCCATCCCATTACTGGGTATATACCCAAAGGACTATAAATCATGCTGCTATAAAGACACATGCACATGTATGTTTATTGTGGCACTATTCACAATAGCAAAGACTTGGAACCAAGCCAAATGTCCAACAATGATAGACTGGATTAAGAAAATGTGGGACATATACACCATGGAATACTATGCAGCCATAAAAAATGATGAGTTCATGTCCTTTGTAGGGACATGGATGAAATTGGAAATCATCATTCTCAGTAAACTATTGCAAAGACAAAAAACCAAACACCATATGTTCTCACTCATAGATGGGAATTGCACAATGAGAACACATGGACACAGGAAGGGGAACATCACACTCTGGGGACTGTTGTGGGGTTGGGGGAGGGGGGAGGGATAGCATTAGGAGATATACCTAATGCTAACTGATGAGTTAATGGGTGGAGCACACCAGCATGGCACATGTATACATATGTAACTAACCTGCACATTGTGCACATGTACCCTAAAACTTAAAGTATAATAATAATAAAAAAAAAAGAAAGAAAAGAAAAACACCCGTATCTGTTTCAGAAGAAAAAAAAACCCTAGGTTAAAAACTGAGGGAAATATGATTCAATATATCTTTCCCATTAATAGGGAAAATTTAAATTGCTAACATTTTTAAGGTCATACATTTCTAACCTTTTTAAGATGTTACCTTTGGGGGGAAAAAAAGCTCTCTATTTGCCATTCTCATCAGCATAGCCTCTCTCCCTGGGCTTCTCCTTGGCATTTGAATTGTCCACCATTTCCACCTATAGGCCTGCTTCTAAACTATAACCCTGCTCAGATCTCAAGTTACATCACAAGAGTCTGTGTTCTGGAAGAATAATGCACTGAATTTTAATCATGATAATTCAGGCTTAGTATCTTTAAATACAACATAGCAGATGCAAGGTTAAATGGCAGTTTCAGTCTTTGACTGGAATTCGCCTTAAGATAAGAAAAGCAAGTTTTAGAACATGATCCTATGAGCCTAGGAAGACAGACTTAGCCAAAATATTCCTATACTCTGCTTACTGTAAATGCATGTGATTTTGGTTCTTTCTTGAAATTGGTGTTCTGGTATTTGCTTAAGAGATTCTGAGTCGTAAAGTGAGGAGTTATTTTAGGAGAAAATTTTTATTTTGTTTAGCTAAACAATTGACAGCATTACTGCCCTTTTCCTAACTACTGAAACTTGGCAATTAGCATTCCAGTGTTTTATGATTTATAAATAATAGTTTTGTTACAGTTCTCTTCATTAAATATGCCAAGATACATGTTTTTGTACTTATGAATTTTTGTGTAGGGAAAATCATTTATTTTATTTAAAAGTATAAGCTATCCACAATCTCTCTGTGTTTCAGGAGGTTACAACACATAGGATTGTCCCATATTATTATAAAACCAACACAATTGTGGTGTATTAACTGTTAAAGTAAAAATTACTCAATGACACTTTTTAAAGCATGATAAGGACGACTTTATTCAGGAACATTGCAAAAGGTATAGGGACCACTGCAATGGGATTTTGCAGTAGAGGAGAGACATAAGGTAAGGTTATTTTCAATTGAAATTCTATGGCTTGTTTATCCTATAGCATTAAGAGAAAAGGAAGATATAAAATTATATATGGAATTATAGTTATCTATACACACCTATTCATACACACTCCAGAATAAAATAAATTCAAATGTTATTAGTTATCTTTGGATAATAGCATATTAGATTATTGTTTTTGTCTTTCTGACTTTTCTGTATTTTCCAAATTTGTAGTAGTAAATGTAATGTTTAGTTAGATTTTTGGAGGATGTTTTCTTTATCCAGAATCAGAAATTCTGAATTTCAGTATTTTAAATGAAATCCTTGTGTTCTGCTTTTGAAGATTACATTATTAATCACTTAAAAGATCTTAGTTTGAAGAGAAAAATCAGAATATGCTTAATTGACATAATATATTGATGCTGAAGGACTGTGTTTTCTTCATGTTGAAAAAGTGTTCTTTTTGTTACCATTGACTACAAATGCTTGAGTCTCAGTATTTCTATGAGATAATTTTGTTTTGAGTTTCTTTTGGGGTGAAACAAAGAGAATGCTAAATTAATGAGTTTGACTCAGGTGTTCTCAAGGCCAGTTCATTGACAGGTGGGCAAGAAGGCATTTATAGCCAAGAAGCAGAGTGGGGCTCAATGGATGACTAAGAAACATCGAGGGTACAGGGGATGCTGGCTAAACCAGCCTTACAGGATTCTTGCCACAAACAGGCCAGGGTGATCAGATATCACGTGGGGAGTGGTAGAGGATGAGGAACACAGTATCTATTGTATAGGGGGAGGGTTCTTGCTAAACTGACTTAGCACAGTTCTTCCCAAAATTGGATTTTACATGAAGTACACAAATGGGGCTCTGTGAAGACTCGGGACCATGACTAAAGTTTGGTCAAGCAAAACTCTTTATCATAACATATTTAGAAATAGATTTAAAATCTGTAGGATATGATATGAAATAGGTGAGTGGGGGTGGTAAAAGGCTCTCTTGTTCAAGGGGTAAATAACCATTGCTGAAAATGGCAAATCTGTGGGAGTATCTTCCATATTAGTCCAGGCTATTTGCAAACAGAATAACAAATAACAGTTTATGGCTTGATAAAAAGGAAAAAAAGGCAAAATGCCTCTCCTGGCTTATGACTATAAGGACTCTGCCCAAATAATCCAATCTCATTCACACACTTTATCATGTAAAGAAGAAAAGTTAGAAATTGTTAAGTACTGGTGTCTGTACCAAGTAGTGAGTGAATGCTTTGTATCCCTGTTCTGAGGACAATCTCAAAACCTTACCGATTTTTACTCCCTTGCTTTCACTAGCTTGTTCTTTGATCTTGGGACTTGTCTTATCAAAATCATGTGCTGTTACCTGTCTCTTCCCTTCTAGCTCAGACGTCACATCCTCAAAGAGGTGTTCCTTGACTCCTGGAACTGAGCCAGGTTCATTGCCAACTCTTTGAATTTCCCCAAAGTAGATCTCCTCTCATTTTAACGTCACAACTAAAACAAGTGTTACTATTTTTAACTCTTGGTAATTTCCATAGGAGTAGAGATCAGATCTATCTTGTTCACCATCATAGTTTAATGTCTGACCTATAGTAGGTGCTCACTAAATGACACCAGTAGTTAGTTAGCAATGGTGATATTAGCAGTCCAAACTCTGCCTGGATAATCTCATCTCCCTTCATGGATTTAGATTATCACCTATATATTAGGCACTTCCAATTCTCTGCTTCCCATCAACTTTTCTCTACCAAGTTTTAGACACTTATATCCATGTGATAAGGGAGCAGACTCTAGAACCAGACTACTTGGGTTTCTATTCTTGACTCTGCCCCTATTTCCATTCATTACATTCTGTATACAAATTCTATTCAGAGAAGTCAAATCACTTTGAACAAATTGTCCTTAATTTCTGTATGTTCTCAGCCTCCTTTTCTCTAAAACACAGGGGAGAGAGGCTGTGAGATACAGTGTCTGACATAAGTTAGTGTTCAATAAATGCTAGCTCTTGCCATTAGTACCACCACTACTACTGCTGCTGCTGCTGTTGCAGATGCAGTTATTATTCTATTATTATTATTCTCAGCTATTTCACCCTATTTCTAATAGAAACTATCTAAAAATGAACTCTCTGTCTCTCCATTGCCAAAACTATCTCTACGTCTCGTATTCTCTTTCTTAGTTCACCGAATTCATCTTATCACCATCCACCCAATTACCTAGCAGATGCCTTTGAGTCACACTCACCTTCTCTCCTGCCCCCAGCTTCCACTCTGTACCATCCAGTGAATCCCTAAACCCTGCTCATGAGGTCTTATCAATATCTCATACGTATCTCCTTCTCTCTATCCCCATGGCTCTTTTTCAGGTCCCATCACCACTAGCTTCTTTACCAGTCTTACTGCTTTCAGTCTCCTACCTCTGCAGTCCAACTGTTCCCTCAGCAAATGTTCATCAGCTACTATGTGCCAGATATTGCTTACAGGCTTAAGATATAGAAGTAAACAGACGAATAGAAAAAAAAAAATCCCCACCTTCATGGAACTTGCATTTCAGTGGTAAATTATATAACATTAAAAGTCAGCAAGTCCCATAAAAAAATACAAGGTAGAAAGTTGTGGATTGGGGTGGGATGTTTGCAATTTTAAAACGGACAGTTAGGACAGATCTTTTTGATAAAGTGGCATATGACTGAAAATGAAGAAAGTATGGGGATGAGCCTTGGAGATATCCGGGAGAAGTGTGTTTCAGAAAGAGAGCTCACCTAGTGAGGTGGGAGGACACCTAGTTGCTGAAGAAATAGTAAAAAGGCCAGTGCATTTTGAGTAGAGGCCAAGGAAGGAAAGAGGTAGAGGATGAGGTAAGAGTGGCAATTATGGGCCAGATACATGAAGCTCTGGAGGCCACTATAAGGATACTGGTTTTACTCTGAGTGAAACAGAAGCTATTGTAGCAATTTGAGCACAGAAGAGACATGATCTGACTGCTGCACTGAAAACCGCCTGAAAGTGGGAAAGATAGAAGCTGGGAGAACAGTTAGGAGGCTACTATGGAAATCCAGATGATAGATGCTGTTATCTTGGACATGAGTGTTACCAGTGGAGACAGTGAGAAGTGTTCAGAGTCTGGATATATTTGAAAATTGATAGCTGATGGATTGGAAGTGGAATCTGAGAGAGAGAGGTTTATAAAATAAGACAAAAATAAAGGATGTCTCTCAAATGTTTGGCCTTTGCACCAGAAAGATGGAGTACCATCAGTAGATATGGAAAATTGCAGAAATCCTAGGTTGCAATGGGGGTGGAAGGGAAATTATTGGTAGTTCAGTTTGGGGCATATTAAGTTTGAGATGTCTATTGGACATCCCAGTGGGAGATCTTAGCCAGTTTATTTTATAAGCCTGGAGTTCTGGGGAGAGGTCCTGGCTAGAAATATAAATGTAGGAGTTGTCAGCAGAAGAGAAGAAGGCTGAAGGCTGAGCTTTAAGGCATTCACATGTTAAGAGGTGAGATCAAAAGGCAGTACAAACAAAGAACACCAAAAAGTAACAGCCAGGGAAGCAGAAGGAAAACAGTGGTATAGCACCCAGAGGGCACTTGAAGAAAGAAATTCAAGGAAGGATTGATTTAACAAATAAGATTTAGAATTGACCACTGGATTCATAATGAGGAGAGAAGTTTGGGGAGAATAGTGAGGATAAAAATAGTGAGGATAAAAATCCAATTAGTCTGATTAAAATGAGTTTAGGAGAATTGTAGAAGAGAAAATGGAACTAATAAGTACAGACAGCTTTTTCAAGTATTTCTGTTATAAAAGAATAAAGAAATGGGGTGGTAATTGAAAGGAGAACTGGAATCAAAGCTAAGTTTTAAGATTATAAAAGTATATTATGTATGAATTCTAATGGAAATGATCTAGTAGAGAGGCAAAGACGGATATAGGAGAAAAATAATCAGCCAAGGAGAAAAGTCCTTCAGAATGACATGAGGAATTGTCCCTTGATGGGAGGACTGACACTTTCTCCATTATAAAATGAGGGAAGAAGAGCCACCTATGCAGGTGCAACTGGGTTGGATGGCAGGAAGATAAAGTAGTTCACATCTGATAGTTTCTGTTTATCAGTGGAATATAAAGTGAGATCAACAGCTGAGAATGAGGGGATAGAGGCAGTCTCACAAGTTTGATTATGAAATTGCTGTCTCAGAAAATAAAAACAAGGCTACTAGAAAAACAGTATTTTTTTTTCTTTCTCTGTGAGGTTACAGTGTAAATCTCCAAATCTGATAGAAAGATGAGGCACTCATCTTCAGGTGTTTACCACCTGTACACCTGAACATTTTCTTCTACTTGTTCCTGTTATAGCCTCACTGCTACTTGATGCTTGCTAGAATTAATTAACAATGCTATATTCTTGGTATCTAAAAGGCATTTTATATATGTTATATAACTGGATCTTTATAATAACCTTGAAAGGTAGAGTATTTTGTCCTTATTTTTCAAAAGGTAAAACCATTTTGGAGAGGTCGGATAACTTGCCCAAAAGCATAAGAGTAATAATTCGCAATATCTGGATTTCAACCCTGATCTGTGTGATTCAAAGTGTTATTTCTATGCTTTGTAAATATACCTCTACATAGAAAGACATTATATTTCTTCCTTTAAGGATGAAAGGCAAGTACAAAATATTTGCATCTATGGATGTCTAGCATAATGCCTGGAAAAGAGTGGCCCTCTTATAAGTACTTGTCAAAAGACAGAATGTTTTTTATTTAACCATCACAATAACATTATACTGTCCATTTACACAGATGAGAACTAAGGCTAAATAACTCACTCATGATCTTATAGCAAGTTAGAATAAGTGACCAATTTGTAACACTAACTCAGATCATCTAACTCCTAAGTTCTCATTACTTGTTACAGGCAAAATTGTGTCCCTACAAAATTCGTATATTGAAGTCCTGAGCCTTAGTACTTCAGAATATGACTGTATTTAAAGACGGGGTTTTTAAAGAGGTAATTAAGTGAAAGTGAGGTCCATAGGATGACCCTTAAAAAAGATGACTGTTGTCCTTACATGAAGATGAAATTAGTACACAAACACACGCAGAGAGAAGACGACGTGAAGACAATGGGGAGGAGGTGACCATCTACCAAGGAAGGAGAGAGGTTTCAGGAGAAACCAACCCTGCTGACACCTTGATCTCAGTCTTCTAGCCTCCAAAACTGTAAGAAAGTTAATTTCTGTGGTTTAAGCCACCCAGTCTGTGGTACTTTGTTATGGCAGTCCTAACAAACTAATACAACATCTCTCCCACTATTGTAGAAACAAAGCATTTCACTTCTTCCATGGGTGTCAATATGTTGAATTACTAACTCAATATGTTGAACTATATGGCCTTCTGAGAAATAATTCAGTTGTGCCAAAGTCCCCAGCAATCATAATCACTTAATAAATAGTTTTGGATAAATAAATCATTAACAAATAAATTTGCATAACAAAGATAAGCCTCTAATTGCTCCAGATCAGACTTCCTTGAACTGGAGAAATGAGTGACTCTGCCCATCAATGAACTGACCTTGAGAACACCTGAGTCAAATTCATTAATTTAGCATTTTCTCTTTGTTCCATCCCAAAAGAAACTCAAAAAAAAATTACCCTATGTAAATACTGAGACTCAAGCATTGGTAACAAAAAGGGCACTTTACAAACATGAAGAAAACATAGTCTTTTGGCATCATTACATTATGTCAGTGAAGGATATTCTGATTTTTCTCTTCAAACTAAGATATTTTAAATGATTAATAATGTAATCTTCAAAGCAGAACACTTGGATTTCATTTAAAATATTCAAATTCAGAATTCCTGATTCTGGATAAAGAAAGCATCCTCCAAAAATCTAACTAAACATTACATTTACTACTACAAATTTGGAAAATACAGAAAAGTCAGAGAGACAAAAACAATCATCTAATATCCTATCACCCAAAGATAACTAATAACATTTGAATTTATTTTATTCTGGAATGTGTATTAATAGGAGTGTATACATAACTATAATTCCATGTATAATTTTATATCTTCCTTTTAATGCTATAGGATAAACTTATTTGCAAATCTTTTAAAATCTGTATACAATTTGCACAGTAGCTACACCAAACTTTATGTAAACATTCTTTTTTTGGCTTTGATAAAAATAATTGATCTCATCACATGATCCTATATGTGAAACAACCTTGTGGGGGTACATACATATAAAATATGCTTTCTTCAAACAAATGCTAGGCTATAAAAAACGCACAATAAGATAACTTCTGAGGCAGGTGTGGAGGAAGGGGCTTCTGAGAAGAAGTACTGTCACTCTCTACTGCATGTACTTCTGTGTTATTTAAGGAGCATTCATTATTTTTGTAATTTAAATAATTTAAAATAACACTGCAGTGAACATATTTGTGTATAAAACTCTTCCTAAATTTCAAATTATGGTCTTGGTATAAATTCCCAGAAATGTATTATTAAATCAGAGGGTCTGAACATTTTGAAGCCTTTTGATAAAAACTGGCAAATTGCTTTCCTAATGAGTTGTCATGAGTATATTCTTGAGGAAAATAGTAAACAATTGAACCAGAAAGAAATATTTCTCATCACAAATTTAAATGAGCTTGGCTCACCACAGTTCAATTCTAAATACATACCCTTACCCCTTTTCACTATTTTCTCTCACTGAGAAAGCTGAACTAGATAATCATTTCAATATAATGTACATATACATAGTGCATTATACTGGAATGATTATCTGGTTTGAACTTTGAACTAGATAATCATTCCAATATAATGAAATGAAAGGCTTATTTTATATATAATATGTTGTTTTATATATAATATGTTATAACATTTTTATGTAATATTATAACACTTTATGTTATGTAGCTTTATATATAATAGTTTATTTTATATATATTATAACATACATAATATATATAAATAAGTCTTTCATTTTAATATCACTAAAAAAGCATACTTATAAAATATTATATATGTATTTAGTCTGCTTGACTTTTAATAAACACTTGAAAGTCTTTTTCTGATTATAAAAAACTGTGCAATAGCTTTTAATATCAGGTTATTTTATTGATTTAAAATGTGAAATACAAATAGATGTCATCTTTGTTACAAAATATCTATTTCCATAGTTAATTTGATTACTTTAAAATTCTAAAATAAACTTAATGATGATCTTTGGATGTTTCAAATGATAGATTGATTAGAACAAATTTTATTCAGAGCATGAAATAATTAGGTTGGTTTCCTATTTTCTTGAAAGATAATTATCAGATTATTCAAAGCGTTTTATGGATGTGTTATTTTTGCTTTAATGTGGTCAATAGGTCTAGACACAGAAGTTAAAAAACAGCACAAAAAGTTCAAATAGTTGGTTGTATTTTAAGCATAAAACCAAGGAGAGTAGCAAGGTATCATGAAAAGTGTCCAGGGTTTTGTTATGGGCAGACCTGAGTTCAAATCTCAACTTTGCTGTTTATTAGCTTTGTGACCTAAAAGTTATTAGAAGTTATTTAACTTTGCTTAGTTTTAGTATTTTTCATTTATAGAATAGAAGAGGAAAACAACTGCAATGGCTTTTAACACTGTAACTTAATTGATGCTTAATAAATGGTAGCTATTTTTATCATGCTGAAGACAAGAAAGATGTGTGCTATTTCACATTTTTTAAATAGAAAATAAATTATAGTATCTATTACCTGAATTCTATAGCTATGCTCACATACTAGAGACTATTTTATTTCCATCTGCACATAAGAATTTACATATATATAGATATTTTCTCATTTTCATTCTCTGAGATCTGACATATAATTTTATATACTAATTTCAAATATAAGTATATTTAAATATAAAGTTTTTAAGTAACATGTAAACAGTGTGTGTGTGTATGTATGTGTGATTATAATAGTCCTAACCATATTCATTCATTCAACAAATATTCATTGAACACTTTTACATATGCTCAGTATTGTTCTAGGAATCATGGAAATCAAGAAGTCAAAAAAGTCAAAAAAAGTGACAACAATTCTTACCTACATAGAACATGTATTCAAATGCGGGGCGGGGAAGCAGTGAAAAGGCAAATAAGTAAAAAATATAGCACATATTAAAAAGTGATAGCTGCTAAGGAGAAAAATGGTCAAGAAAGTGAGATAAAAATTGGGGGGGTTGCAAATTTAGAATAGAGTTTAGAAAAGAAGGCCTTACTGATATGCCATTTGAATAATAACCTGAAGAAAGTGAGGAAGCCAGCCACATGGATATGAAGTAAAAGCTTTCCAGGCAGAGCAAACAGCAAGTGCAAAAGTACTGAGGTGGGGACATGCCTGGAAAAGCCCTATAAATGCCCTCATGGGGGTATTATGAGGATTAAATGAATTTAGCACATGTAAAACACCAAGAATGTATCTGCTACATAGAAAGAGCTCCATAAATTTTAGTTATTATTTGCAGTTCTTAGCATTAGTCATTTTATTTAAAAATCATTAAGTAATATTTTTATATTTGTTTCAAAATTTTCAGTTTCTATCCAGGTATTTGGAATTATGTATACTTAGCCTCATATCATTTAGGCCATTGTGTAAATAATTTCTAGTTTTAATCATATGTAATATAATGACATATTCTAAGGTAAGACAGGTTCTATCCCTCCTTTCCTACTACATTTAAAGTTCTTGATTTCTCCTGTATCTAGCACAGTAATGACGTACACTTTATACATGTTTATAAAGTTTTCTTCATTGACTGAAGGAATGAACATGCTATTTTTTGGTAACTACTTACAGTTTTTGCAGATTGTCCTCATTCACTACACGACAGTTTAACTGTGTTTTCTCATGCAGATTATAAGTTGGAAAGCTCTCATTAGCTCATTCATTAATTTTTATGATTGCCTACAAGTATCATTATTTAGTGCAATATAAATATGGTGAAAAGATGCTATTCATGTAGGGAGAGCTGTTATAAATCAGGAAGCTTGTTAGTGATTGCCAGTTGAACTAAGATCTGCTATGTTTTACTACATTTCAGAAAATAAATCCATCTGGCCTTGAGTTTTACTATTTCTTTTATCTATTTGCTAAAGGTTGATTTTGCATTAACAAGAAATTATAAAAGTAAAGACTTGAATATGTCTAACATTTTGAATCAGCTTATTTATATTAGCTTCCAGAAGCAAAGGGTAATACTCATAAGGTCAAGACTAGTGTTGCATTTAGAAACTGTATAAGTCACAGTATTATCTGGGTGAAGTACAATGAACATTTGTTTGACAACTTTGACATCTGCTTCGCCGTACTAGAAACTCTTAATACTGGAATCCGCAAGCACAAATATACATCTGTTTGACTCAAATGAATATTAGTTGAAGAATAATGACCTGAAAACTAGATATCCCCTGAGGGTAGTTTTATAAAATTACCAAGCTGTTTTGTTTTCTATTTAAAGTGTGTTTGACATCAGAAAAGACTACATTTTATATAGCAGAAATATGAGAAATTAGTCTAAGTAGTTTTTAGGAGAAAATATGCATTCTTAATGTTACTGTTCTGAGCATGGTTGAGTGGTAGCATGTAACTTTTCTGTACCTAAAATTTCACAGTAAAAAATTGAAGTGCTGTGGTAAATTATTATTAATACTGTATTGTTCTATGAAACAAACTAAGAGATTTAATTTTCGCCATTAGTCGAGGACCACAGTAATTTCATTGTGTGAGAACACAATAAAACCACCACAGCACCAGTAATTTGGGACCAAAAAATCTGAAAAAATATATATTATGGAAATAATTATTTACTGTAAAGCAAAACTTCTTAAATAAGTATGTTGAGGAGAAAACTACTATAAATCAGACTTTAAGAGACAATAAGTCCCAGAGGACCCAAGAAATATAAATCAAGACAGGAAATGTGATTGTAAAACAAAGAGCAAAGAACTGTAAATCAAGGCTGGATATTCCCTAAGAGAGACACATGAAGCACTGGAAGGATTTTAGTCAAAAGGTAGGAGAGTTTGTACCATGACGGAAAAGAATAGGGCTAAAATTTAAATATCAGATAGGGAAGAAACTGTTTATAAGACGTGTGGTTTGAACTCAGTAATCACTACACGTTTCTCATCTTCATATTCAGCCCATTGTCCTCCGTCTCAATTGCACTTTCATTTCTGTGATCCTGCTCTCCCAAACACTGCTATGGCTCCTCCCCACTTAACTCTGCCCTATTGCCTGGCCATGTACCCAACCAACCTCCTCACTGTGTCTTCCGCAAAGCCCCCAGAACCTACTACTTTGTTATTATCAAGGTCTCATTTAGCCTTACTGTTTCCATTCAGTAGGTCTTCCACATCCTCATGTTGATTTACAGCTTACTTGCTACGCATGACACCTCTTGCTTTGGCTACTGTCATGTATAGGCCTCTGGGTCTTGCGATCCATGTATGATGCAGTTTCAATCCTCTACCACTGATGTCTCTTTCCATTGCATTGACTTATCACTTCTGTTTTAACACTTTTTGAAATCCATGATTTTAAAATACAAACATCTTGCCACGCCTCCCAGTCCTTATCACTTTACAAACATTCCTCCATATTCTAAAGTTCATGGTTGTATTATGGAATCAAAATTTTTCTTTCTCCTCATCCATTTTCTTACAGGGCATCAACGTCGACCACCCGTTTAACTGTCTTCAGAGTTACTTCACTTATCATATTTGATGAACTTGCTTTTCATTTGACCTCAGGCACTCACACACACATGACAGTATTGTGAATTTATAATTACCCGGAAATGCTCACCCCGAAGATCTTAAACTCCATATATTTGTATCAAAGAAATGTTCAGAATGGTGGCCGGGGCGGTGGCTCACGCTTGTAATCCTAGCACTTTGGGAGGCCGAGACGGGCGGATTGCCTGAGCTCAGGAGTTCGAGACCAGCCTGGGCAACACAGTGAAACCCCGTCTCTACTAAAATATGAAAATTAGCCCGGCATGGTGGCGGGCGCCATTAGTCCCAGCTACCTAGGAGGCTGAGGCAGGAGAACTGCTTGAACCCGGGAGGCGGAAGTCGCAGTGAGCCGAGATCGAGCCACTGCACTCCAGCCTGGGCAACAGACTGAGACTCCGTCTCGGAAAAAAAAAAAAAAAAATGGTTACTGAGCGCCATGGAAGGGCACTGGAGGCTGGAAAGACTTTGTCGTATTTTTCATAGATAAGACTTTTAGCCTCAACCTCGTGTATTTTTTAATTCATCCAGAATTTACCTAATACTCATTTATTGTAGGACTGGGCTATAATGGCACAATCGAAATGCATTAAATCAAATTGTAAGAAGAGTAATTTATGTTAAGACGTGTAGAACCAAAAGACTAGAATGCCTATGTCTATTTGTCAGTGCACGTTTCTTCTGTACACATAAAATAATTACTGCAAGTTTGCTTTAGTAAACACCAGAGGAATCATCAAAAGGAAATGAACAATAATGAATACCATAAGTGAATTAGGATAGCTTGGTACACCCATCTCCTGCCATGCTCTATGGTCAGGATGATGCCTGTGTTAGACGGTGCTGAAAAATCACCAACACCTTGTCATTGTTTGGCTCTATTTTCTCTATGTGTGTATATTAGTCCTTCAACAGACAGTTACTAGAGAAAGGGATCAAACTAGTTGATTAGGAGACAGCCAGAGAGCATGGGACTAGAAGAGTGTCCACTATGCCATTTTCTTAGCCATGTGGCTTCTACAAGTCACTTAGCCTCTCTAAGCCGCTCAACTTCTTAAATGTGAAAAGACAATGCTATCTTCCTCTTATTAGCTATGTGACCACTTAATGAGATAATGTATTTGAAAATGCTCTGTAATTTGCAAAACTTTATAAAATGGATATATGCATATCTGTTTTAACAAACATGCCAAGCCAAGCAACATACTGAGATTCCTTGGTAAAACCACACTATAACTTCACAAAGAACGTATTTACACACTGCTTAAGATGGATTTCTTATATGTAAATAACCATAATCATTCCATATTAAAGCTTATGAAATTCTATTTCCAAAGGTAACATATTCCACATGTTTTTCCCAGCTGATGAAGTATAACCTAAGATCTATATACTGACCATGTTCCACCCTTCTACATCATCCGTTCTTTGCCTCAGCTGGCTGATCTTTGTCATCTTCCACACTTGACCTTCTTGATTTCTTCCCTTTACTTAGCTGGCTTCTCTCTCAAACTGTCTGCTTCCACATCAGCTGTCAGCATTTCCTCACTTTGCATTCAGTTTCTTCCACTGCCGATAATCAACTGCTCAATTTAACACTTTTAAAACTTATCTCTGCAAAAATAAGAATAACCTCCTAATTATCTCACTCAATACTCTCTTTCCAGCACTCAGGCTATAAGACGTTGCTGCAGGATTTGATACTTCTTAAAACCTCTCCTCCCTTGGTGTTTACAACAATGAAGAAAACTGAGTTGACATTCACATAGAAAAATGAAAGAAACTAAAATCTTTTTTTGTAATTATACTTTGAGTTTTAGGGTACATGTGCACAACCTGCAGGTTAGTTACATATGTATTGTTTTAAAGCATTAGCGAAAACTCTCAAATAATTGCCAAATTTCAGGTCCACTTTTCACCTCAAATTTGAAACTAGAAGTGCAATACTCTGCCATAACCACTGTCACAATTCTCAATAACTTCCAACATCCTGCTCAAATATCAGTTTGAGCTTTTCCTGCCCTTTTAATCACTCCCTCCTCTATAATCCCAAATTTTGGCTTGTAATACAGCATATATCAGACCCAGAATTGTAGTATTTTACGCGTATTAATCTACCTTTACAGGCTTCTACAGAGTCCATGCAAACATGCAATTCGTTCCACATTATAGATATTCAACAATGGATTTTTGAAGAAAAAACTGATGTCATAATGCATTAACCCACTCTATGTTATTTTCCTGAAACATGCTATTATGCAAAAAATACTAAAATTATTGTAAAATCAAAGACATGTATCTTAAGATTATTCAATGGTTTTACAAATATTAGGCAATTCAAATTTGGATATTTGATAAACACTGGGTTTCTGGAATTTAGAGACAAGGATTTTAATGTGACTGTTTTAATGAAGCAACACAAGTGCTAATATTTTTATTTATTTCACAACTGAATTGAAGTAAATAATTATTTCCATCAGTAATGGGAAATAATTCTTTTCTGAAAAGAAGTAGACTAGTTTGTGGGCTCTTAGAATCCTTCACACACTATGGTTGAAGTTGATTGGCTTATCATTCCAATTCTTGTGAACAAGTGACAGAGAGTTTGTGGGCTACACATCAAGTTTAAGAACTCAGGTTATAATCTAGTTCCAAAAGGCAGACATAGCAGATGACGGTCACTTTCACTTGAGACTCCAGGAATTTGGTCTATTTAGTTCATTTTGTATATATGTGCTTTTGTTGGAAGCCAAGGTGGATTTGTTCCATGCCAAAAATCAATTATCATCCATATTTTAATTTACTGTCCAGAAGAAGATGCAGTGCCAGATGCTACCGAATATTAGTCACTTTCTTATTTCAAAATGAAAGACAGGGGAGGGGGAAAGATGTTGGTCAAAGAATACAAAATTTCAAAATTTCAATTAGATAAGTGGAATAAGTTCAGGAGACCTATTTTATAACAAGGTGACTATAGTTAATAACAATACATTATATCTTTAAAATTTGCTAAAAGAATAGATTTGAAATATTCTCACCACAGAAAAGATATGTGAGATAATGCATATGATAACTGGCTCAATTTAGTCATTCCACAATGTGTGTATATATATATTTCAAAACAATACGTTGTACACGATACAATTTTGTCCATTTTTTTAAAAAAGAAAAATTTTAACACCTTTCTTCTATTTTCTATTTTTAAAATTACTGGATTCTGCTTATATTTGATCTATGCTTACTATAAAAGTTTACGGGATATTTTTGGTAACTGCACTTTCAAAACTCTTAATTATAACTCTTGTACATATGCTGATAAGAGTAATTAGTCAAATGTTTTCAGGTTCACTTTTCAACTCTGTCAAACACTTTTATAAGCTATCATTTGGATCATTTTTTCTCTCCTCCTTCAAAAAATTATAGAAATCGCTGTGAATTCCAAATGCGTGTCTGTTTTATTCTGTTAAATCAGATACTTATACTGACAACCTATCAATACACTAAATTAGTACATGTAGCTAACAAGCATGTACAAGTTTAACTGCTGTATAACAACATTTAACAGATCAACAAACACAACAGCTTGTCTCTGCAGGGTTTAATAAACCATATTTATCCACAGCATCTGAGAAAAACAGAAGAGACTCTGATATATGTTATGTTCTTTTTATAAGTACATGAAAATAAATATGTAAAAGTAAATGTGGTTTCTATTTCTATTCGTGAGAGTAGAATGTACTAACTGAGGTCATAACTTGAACTGAGGTTTCATTAAGGGGGAAAGCACTTTGTCTTTTATGTTCTAAAATAGACTTCTTGATAAAGAAAAATTATGCTTAAAGATTAATTAATAACTGGCTGGCATTATAAAGTGTTGCAATGTTAAATTATAATAAATATTGATTTTAGGAATAAGTTTTGAATATTTTATTTTTACATTTTCTCTGTAAATTTGTGTTAGTCCATTTAACTTCAAAAGTATTCTTCACCACATTATTTAAGGATCACACTTAATAATTTTCCACTAAAAGAATCCTGTTTAACAGAAGTAATATGATGTGATAGGTTAAAAGCAAATATTTTGATATTAGGCAAGCCTGGGTTTAAGCCCCAGTTCTTCCACTTGTTAATTAAGTGGCCTTGAGATAATTCCTCTGTCTTCCTTAGGCTTAATTCCCTAACTTGCAAATTGGTGACCATGACAGTTTCTGTTTTCAATGGCTGTTATGAAAATTACATGAGAAAGTAGGTAAAGTGCTAAGTAGGGTGCCCATCCTATAACGTCCTATAATTAGCTTCAACTCTTACACCTCCTCAACATCTGTTGCTGTTATAATTGTTATTTATTACTATTGTAACACCAATGAAGAAATACTGTTATTGCAAAAAGCATTTGAGAAATTGTGAAGAAAATTACCAATTTTTTAAAAGGCAAGTTGAGGTGAAAGAAGAAGAAGCTAAAGCATTTGGAATGAGTTCAGTAAGTTTGGTGAAGTAAAGACAATTGAACAGATACAATTAGACCATGTCAAAATTGTTAACATTAATGTAACCCCAATTAACCTTTTTAAAAATATAAATAGCCATAAAAGTTAATTAAGGTATTTACTCTCTTTAAGGAGGGAGAAGTACAGGTGAGGACGTATTAAGACACTGAAAGGGTAGAAAGGATACAGGTGCTGAGCAGTTGTTATGCAAGAACTATGCTGGATGTACTTTCCTCAGAACACTTCCATAAGATATTAATATCTATATTTTGCAAATAAAGAATCTGAGGTTCAAAATAGCCAAGTAGTTTGTCCAAAGGTCACATAGCTAGCTAATTGAAGAAGCTGGAATTAAAACCCAGGTTTTTCTAAGCCAAAAGCCCTTTATAGTTCTGTCTTCAGTTGTGTGAGATTATGAATCCAAAGGTGGAACCCTGAGTATGAAAGGGAGAGTCCTGAAATAGGAAAAGTTAAAGAACTGAAGAAGGCTTTTATGTTTTACTCAGATTTTTCTCTTTAAAATTGGTTATAAGTTATGACATAAAGTTTAAAATATTAGATGATATTCCAACTTTCTCTGTTTTGATGTTATAAAACCTTGTGAACTGGGACTCCAAAATTATTGACATAAGCTGGGAATTTATTCTAAACTGTGACATATTTGCTCTAAACTAGACTTCTAACCAACTGAAATTCAATGACTTCTGAAATGTGGGTTCTCATTCAACTAGACAAAATGTGTCAGCCAGAAATGTATGACACAGTGGAGGCCAGAGGTTTTTACAGCAGCAAGTCCCTAAAAAAACAACAGGATCAAATATGCTATTTTTAAAAAATTACCCAAAGATAGTTTAAGGTCTGTGCTCTTAGTATAATTCCCTTTTGTCTCACTTTACATTGGGATACTTTCAAATCTCCTGCTAAGTGGATTGACATTACAAATGACTCTAATACAGAGCAGGTTTTTCCTGAACTTTCCTAGACAGTCAAGTGGAGAGATTTCTAAATATAAACCATCTTATTCATGGTTTCATTGCTGTATATAAATAAAACCTGTCCCAACCCTGTATGAATTTTTAAATAATTTTCATTAATAATCTCTTGGGCAGCTTCAGTCTCACTGTGAAGGATTCACTCTTGAACATTTCGATTGACTCAATTAATTGTCAATCTTATTTAGAAGTTCTAAATAAGAGAGATAGCTATTATAATTTGTGAATGATGCAGCTAGAGTTGCAAAGAGTAGCTCATTCCATACTTCATCACTCATTTTTCAGGGTATATTAACAATGTCTTTACAAAGGTTTGATTATATTTCTAAAATGAGGTAACTCTAGAAAGAAAATATTTTTGAAGCTGTTCCTCTCTCTTTTTCTCACTACAAGCTCTGTCCCCTAAGGCAATTTTATCTGAGGGTTCAGCACATCATCTAAGGATATAAAGTAGTCTTGCTGCTTAAGCAAATGAGGCATTAAGGCTGTTTTGTATTCCTGTGGGCTATCACTGTCTGTACTGACAATGCAGTGGTGCCTGCTGCTTGAGATAGGGGTAGGAAGGGTGGTTTGGAAGGGGATTGCACGTGTGTGCCATAATGAATCTGTTTTATCTTTGAACAATTCCATATGCTCTTGTGAAGCTATCAATTCTTTCTTTTCCTTTTTTTTTCTCCTTTTAATGCCAAGATAAATTGATCCTAGATTGCTGCTCCAAATGCTGACACCACTGAATATGAAGGTGTCATTGTAAAATGAACCATAGCAAATTCTTAATAAGCAAGCTTCACAAAGAGTTATAGTTTTTGACATTCAGATATAGACTTATCCCCAGTGAAGGAAGCTTTGTTCAGCCCATGCATGCTAAGAGGAATAAAAAATAAAAAGTAATTTGATTGGTATTAAATATGTTTTATTCCTTCCTATATTGAGCAATCATATCACATGACTTGTCCACTTCCATCTTACAGGAAAATTGGAAAAGGAATGATTTCAAATCAAGAACTTTATTTCTAAAAAAGTTGGAACGAGTTTAGAGCTAACGCTTCCAGTGCTATCTGGAGGAGATTTAAAATCTGACTTCCTTGAAAACTTCAAAATCAGTTGTGTCTGAGAAAAACAAATTAGTAAATTCTATAGAACATATGCTATAAAAACAATTACTAAAGTTTTCTAAGCTGATTATTTCAGGCTAATTTCTCTTCTAAAAATTAGTATATCCTAGGGAGCCTACTTTCTAAATTAATGGGAGCAAATGCTTAGAAAACACTTTTATACTTGATAACTCAGTTTGGAAAAAAAGAATATGGGAATTAGCTCTATGATGATTATTACAATTTACATTATCTTGAACAGAGAAGAAACAGACCATTTTGATAAGTTCAAGAACATTAACTTTTTTTTCTCTTTACAAGTCCTGCATAAAAACTCCTCAATGGATGTTGCTTTAAAAATATATAAAAGGCAGGTGTGGTGGCATATATCTGTAGTCCCAGATACTTGGGAGGCTGAGGTGGGAGAATTCCTTGAGCTCAGGAGTTCAAGTCTATCCTAAGCAAAATAGTAAAACCCCATCTCTAAAAATACATATATATTTTTTAACATACAGATATGCTACAAATTTAAGACAGTTTATTAATTTATATGTACAAAAGCAACCTACATATTTAAGATAATATAATCAGTAATTATAATATAATATAATCAGTCTGATATGAAGTTTTGTCTTATATTTCCAGCTGTGAGCAACTTTAAAAGGAATTCATTAACTAACTTTATTACAGTATTTCCAGAAAATAGTTATTCTGTGCCACATTGGTTTGGTGATGCTTGATTAGACTTTTATTATGAAATCGACTCTTGTGTCTCCAAATAATAACTGAAAATGCAAACATTTCAAAAAGTTTTAACCCTAGATATATTCTCAGTATAATTCAACCTGTTATATATAAATTGGCTTTTTGTAA
The DNA here is from genome assembly GCF_000001405.40 of Homo sapiens. Classification (NCBI taxonomy): domain Eukaryota; kingdom Metazoa; phylum Chordata; class Mammalia; order Primates; family Hominidae; genus Homo; species Homo sapiens. The sequence continues at coordinate 93,702,212 of NC_000004.12, forward strand.
ATAGATTCCATACACCAAGAATGTCTAGATTTCAATGCATTCTGCATTAAGTCCTTCTGTAAAACAAATAATTGTTTTGCTTATTAATCATAACTTTGGATATCTGTTTGCAAATTGGCATCATATTTGCTCACAGTTCTGCAATTCGTCTTTTTCTCTAAACATTGTGTTTTTGAAATTTATCCATGTTTATATACAGGTAGCTCTAGTTCATTCACTTTAAATGCTTCACAGTATTCCATCGTAGGAATGCATTAAGATGTGCTTATTATTTTATTCATGGGTATTTGTATTGCTTTCATCTATTTGCTGTTACCATAATGCTAAAAAAAATTATTGTACATATCTCCTTTGGCATGTATGCAAGAGTTTATCTGAGAGAATATACCTGAATTGGAAACACGGAATTTATGGCACACCTTCAACATTAATGGCAAATAGCTTCTGAAAGTGTTTGTATCAATAGATACTACCTCAGCAATTTCTGGAAGTTTCCCCTGCTCATTCATTTGTTCATTTAATAAATATTTATTGCACATTCATGTGACAGACTGTGTTCTAGAAGGGGATGTATAGCAGTAAACCAAGTTTATAAAACTCTCTGTCTAAATGCAGTTTGCATTCTAATGTGGGGAGACAGAAAATAAATATAAATACATAATATCTCAATTGGGAGAAGTACTATGGATAAAAATGAAGCAAGGAGAGGAATAAAGAGTGCTAGAATAGGAGATGCAATTTTAAATACAGAGATCAAGGAAAACTGTACTAGGAGGTGATATTTGAGCAAATAACTGAAAGGGGTGAAGGAAAAAAGCTATACATTTTCACTCTTACTTGATATTATCACACTGGTTAACTTGTGTTAGATAAATGAAGGTAAAAATTTGTCTCATTAGGATTTTTAATTTTTTTCTGACATCAAGCATGTATTCATGTTAATTTACCGTTTGTGTTGTCCCTATTGTAAATTGCTAGCTAATATTTTAACTCATTTTTCTAAAGTGTTACTTTCCTAATTCTTATTGAATAGGAGAGATCCATTATTAAATTTTGGGGGTATATAGTAGGTGAGTATATTTATAAGGTACGTGAGATGTTTTGTTACAGGCATCCAAAGTGTAATAATCACATCAGGGCAAATGAAGTATCTATCACCTCAAGCATCTATTATTTCTTTGTATTATAACCATTCCAATTATACTCTTTGAGTTATTTTTAATGTATAATAAGTTATCATTGACTGTAGTCACCCTGTTGTGGTAGCAAATACTAGATCGTATTTATTTTTTTTTATATGTACTTTAAGTTTTAGAGTGCATGTGCACAACGTGCAGGTTAGTTACATACGTAAACATGTGCCATGTTGGTGTGCTGCACCCAGTAACTCGTCATTTAACATTAGGTATATCTCCTAATGCTATCCCTCCCCCCTCCCCCCACCCCACAACAGTCCCCAGTGTGTGATGTTCCCCTTCCTGTGTCCATGTGTTCTCATTGTTCAATTCCCACCTATGAGTGAGAACATGCAGTGTTTGGTTTTTTGTCCTTGAGATAGTTTGCTGAGAATGATGGTTTCCACCTTCATCCATGTCCCTACAAAGGACATGAGCTCATCCTTATTTATGGCTGCATAGTATTCCATGGTGTATATGTCCCACATTTTCTTAATCCAGTCTATCATTGTTGGACATTTGGCTTGGTTCCAAGTCTTTCCTATTGTGAATAGTGCCGTGATAAACATACGTGTGCATGTGTCTTTATAGCAGCATGATTTATAATCCTTTGGGTATATACCCAGTAATGGGATGGCTGGGTCAAATGGTATTTCCAGTTCTAGATCCCTGAGGAATCGCCACACTGACTTCCACAATGGTTGAACTAGTTGGCAGTCCCACCAACAGTGTAAAAGTGTTCCTATTTCTCCACATCCTCTCCAGCACCTGTTGTTTCCTGACTTTTTAATGATGGCCATTCTAATTGGTGTGAGATGGTATCTCATTGTGGTTTTGATTTGCATTTCTCTGATGGCCAGTGATGATGAGCATTTTTTCATGTGTCTTTTGGCTGCATAAATGTCTTCTTTTAAGAAGTGTCTGTTCATATCCTTCACCCACTTTTTGATGGGGTTGTTTGTTTTTTTCTTGTAAATTTGTTTGAGTTCATTGTAGAGTCTTGATATTAGCCGTTTGTCAGATGAGTAGGTTGCAAAAATTTTCTCCCATTCTGTAGGTTGCCTGTTCACTCTGATGGTAGTTTCTTTTGCTGTGCAGAAGCTCTTTAGTTTAATGAGATCCCATTTGTCAATTTTGGCTTTTGTTGCCATTGCTTTTGGTGTTTTATCTTTCTAACTATATTTTTGAACTCATTAATTATCCCCACTTCCCTTCTTCCCACCACTACCCTCCCCAGCCTCTGGTAACCATCATCTTGCTCTTTATGAGTTCAATCGTTTTCATTTTTAGCTCCCACTAGTAAGTGAGAACATGTGAAGTTTCTCTTTCTGTGCCTGGATTTTTTTCACCTAACATAATGACCTTCAGTTCCATCCATGTTGTTTCAAATGACAGGATCTCAATTTTTATGGTCAAATAGTACTCCATTGTGTATATGTAACACATTTTCTTTATCAATTAATCTGTCGACGGACACTTAGGTTGCTTCCAAATCTTCACTATTGTGGCTAGTGCTGCAATATACATAGGAGTGCAGACACCTTTTTGATATACTGTTTTCCTCTCCTTTGAGTATATACCTAGGAGTGGGGTGGCTGGATCACATGGTAACTCTATTTTTAGTTTTTAAGGAGCCTCTATACTAGTCTCCATAATGGCTTTACTAATTTACATTCCCGCTAACAGTGTACAAAGATTCCTTTTGCTCCACATCCTTACCAGCATTGGTTATAGCCTATCTTTTGGATAAAAGCCATTTTAACTGGGGGTGCAACGGTATCTCATTGGAGTTTTAATTTACAGTTCTCTGATGATCAATGATGTTGAGCACCTTTCACATACCTGTTTACCATTCATTTGTATGTCTTATTTTGAGAAATGTCTATTCAGATCTTTTGCCTAGTTTTTGTTTTGTTGTTGTTGTTGTTTTGTTTCTTTTTTCTTTTTTTTTTTCTTCTTCCTGAAACAGAGTCTCGCTGTGTCGCTCAGGTTGGAGTGCAGTGGCTTGATGTCAGCTCACTGCAACTTCCGCCTCCCAGGTTCAAGCAGTTCTCCCTGCCTCAGCCTCCCTAGCAGCTGGGATTACAGGCACCCACCACCATGCCCAGCTAATTTTTGTATTGCCCAGTTTTTAAATCTGATTAATCGATATTTTCCTATAGAGTTGTTTGAGCTCCCTATATATTCTGGTTATTAATCCCTTGTCAGATGGATAGTTTGCAAATATTTTTCCCCATTTTGTGGGTTATTTCTTCACTTTGTTGATTGTTTACTTTGCCATGCAGAAACTTTTTAACTTGATGCAATCCCTTTTGTTCATTTTTGCTTGGTTGCCTGTGCTTTTGAGGTATTATTCATAAAATCTTTGTGCAGACCAATGTTATAGAGTTTTTCCAGTGTTTTCTTTTAGGAGTTTCATAGTGGAGGTCTTATATTTAAGTCTCTAATCTATTTTGATTCGAATTTTGCATATGGTCAGAGATAGGGGTCTAGTTTCATTTTTCTGCATATGGATATCCAGTTTTCCCAGCACCATTTATTGAAGAGACTGTCCTTTCCTCAGTGTATGTTCTTGGCACCTAAGTTGGAAGTGAGCTCACTGTGGATGTATACATTTATTCCTGGGTTCTCTATTCTGTACCATTAGTCTATGTGTCTGTTTTTATGCCAGTACCGTGTTGTTTTGATCACTATAGCTCTGTAGTATAATTGGAAGTCAGTTAATGAGATTTCTCTAGTTTTGTTCATTTTGCACCAGATGACTTTAGCTATTCTAGGTCTTTTGTGGTTCCGCATAAATTTTAACATTGTTTTTTCTATTTCTGTGAAGAATATCATTGGCATTTTGATAGGGATTGCATTGAATTTATAGATTGCTTTGGATATAATTGACATTTTAACAATATTGATACTTCCAATTCATGAACATGAAATGTCTTTCCATTTTTTTACATCCTCTTCAATTTCCTTATTTGTGTACTATTTTTTATGTCCTCTTCAATTTCCTTCATCACTGTTTTATAGTTGTTTTACAGATCTTTCACTTCTTTGATTGAGTTTATTCCTAGATATTGCATCTTATGTGTACTTATTGTAAACAGGATTATGTTCTTGATTGCTTTTTCAGATTGTTCACTGTTGGCATATAGAAATGCTACTGATTTTTGTATGTTGATTTTGTATCCTGCAACTTTACTAAATTTGTGTATCACCTCTAATAGTTTTTTGTGGAGTCTAGGTTTTTCCAAATATAAGACCATATCATCTGTAAAAAAAGGATAATTTGATTTCTTCCTTTGCAATTTGGATGCCCTGTATTTCTTTCTGTTGCCTGATTGCTCTAGCAAGGACTTCCAGTACTCTGTTGAGTAACAGTGGTGAAAGCAGGCATCCTTGCCTTGATCTAGATCTTAGAGGAAAGACTTTCAGTTTTCCCATTCAGTATAATATTAGCTGTAGGTTTGTCATATATAGCTTTTATTGTATTGAGGCATGTTCTTTCTATACTCAGTTTTGTGGGAGTTTTATTATGAAGGAATATTGGTCAAATGCCTTTTTATCATCAATTGAAATATCATATGATTTTTCTCCTTCGTTCTGTTAATATGATGTATCACATTGATTGGTTTATGTGTGTTGATCTATCCTTGCATCGCCGGAATATATCCCACTTGGTCATGATGAATCATCTTTTTAATGTGTTGTTGAACTCAGTTTGCTGGTGTATTGTTAAGGATTTTGCATCAGCATTCATCAGGGATATTGGCCAGTAGTTTTCCCTTTTTGTTGTGTCTTTGTCTAGCTTAGTTTCAGGGTAATACTGGTCTCATAGAATAAGTTGGGATGTATTCTCTCCTACTCTATTTTTTGGAGTACTTTGAGAAAAATTGGTATTAGTATTTCTTTAAGTGTTTGATAAAATTCAGCTGTGAAGTCATCAGGTTCTAGGCTTTTCTTTGCTGGAAGACTTTATTACAGCTTTGAACTAAGTACTTGTTATTGATCTATTCAGGTTTTGAATTTCTCCCTGCTTCAACCTTGGTAGGTTATATGTATCTAGAAATTTATCTATTTCTTCCAGATTTTCCAATTTGTTGGCATATAGTTGCTCATAGTAGTCTCTAATAATCTTTTGAATTTCTACAATATCAGTTGCAACATCTTTTTCACCTCTGATTTTATTTATTTGGCTCTTCTCTCTTTTTTCTTAGTTTGTCTGGCTAAAAGTTTTTTGATTTTATCTTTTCAAGAAATTATCTTTTTCTTTTATTGATCTTTTGTATTTTTTGTTCCAATTTCATGTGTTTTTACTCTGATCTTTATTATTTCTTTCCTCTTACTAACTTTGGGTTTGGTTTGTTCTTTCTTTTCTAGTTCTTTAAGGTATATCATTAGGTTATTTATTTGAAGTTTATATACTTTTTTATTTAGGTGCTTATTGCTGTAAATCTTCCTCTTAGTATTACTTTTGCTGTATTCCAAAGGTTTTGGTATGTTTTGTTTCCATTTTCATTTGTTTCAAGACATTTTTAAATTTCCTTCTTAATGTCTTCATTGACCCCACTGATCATTCAGGAGCATATTGTTTAATTTCCATATGTTTGTATAATTTTCAAAATTTCTTTTGTTATTGATTTCTAGTTTGATTCTATCCTTGTCAGAAAAGATACTTGATATGATTTCAATTATTTTAATTTTTTAAGACTTGTTTTGTAGCCTAACTTATGGTCTACTGAATGAACCATGTACTGAAGAGAAGAATGTATATTCTTTAGCCATTGGATGAAATGTTCTTTGAATATCTCTTATGTCCATTTGGTCATAGTGCAGACTAGTGTGAAACACTAGTCCAGTGTTTCTTTGTTGATTTTCTATCTGAATAATCTTTCCAGTGCTGTAAGTGGGCTGTTGAAGTCTCCAGCTATTATTGTATCAGGGGTTTATGTCTCTCTTTAGCTCTAATAATATTTGCTTTATTTACCTGTATGCTCCAGTGTTAGGTACTGAATTAACCCCTTTATCATTGTATAATGACCTTCTTTATCTCTTTTCTTAGGGTTTGTCTTGAAATTTATTTTGTCTGATAAAAATATAGCTACTTCTTATCTTTTCCGATTCCCATCTGCATGGAGTATATTTTTCGATCTTTTTATTTGCAGTCTATGTATCTCTATAGGCGAAGTGTGTTTCTTGTACATGAGAGATTGTTGAATGTTGTTTTTTTAATCTATTTATCCACGCTATGTCTTTTTATTGGAAAGTTTAGTCCATTTACATTCAATGTTATTATTGACAAGTAAGGACTTACTACTGCCAATTTATTATCTGTTTTCAGATTGTTTTGTGGTCTTCCCTTCTTTCCTTTCTTTCCTTTCTTTCCTTCTTCCTTCCTTCTTTCCTGTCTTCTTTTTGAGGAAATGATTTTTCTTTGATGGCATATTTTAATTTCTTGCTTTTTATTTTTTCTGTATCTGTTACAGAGTTTTTGATTTAAGGTTATCATGAGGTTTGCAAATAACATCTTATAACCCATTATTTTAAACTGATGATAACACTGATTGCAAAAACAAACAAGCAAAGAAGAAACTAATGAAAACTACACTTTAACTTCATCCCTTCTTTTAAGCTTTCAGTAGTTTCCATTTATATCTTACTGTTTTAAGTCTTGAAAAGTTGTTGTAGTTGTTATGTTTGACAGATTCATCTTTCATCTTTCTACTCAAGATACAAATAGTTTGTACACCACAAATACAGTGTTATAATATTCTGTGTTTGTGTACTTGCTATTACTAGGGAGTTTTGTACATTCAGATGATTTATTATTGCTTGTTTACTTCCTTTTCTTTCAGATTGTAAAACACCCTTTAGCATCTCTTGTAGGACAGGTCTGGTGCTGTCAAAATTCCTTGGCTTTTATTTCTCATGGAAAGTATTTCTCCTTTGTGTCTGAAGGATATTTTTATGGGATATACCATTCTAGGATAAAAGGCTTTTTTCCTTAGCACTTTAAATATGTCATGCCACTCTCTCTTGGCTTGTAAGTTTTCCACTGTGAAACCAGATGTATTGGAGGTCATTTGTATGTTATTTATTCCTTTTCTCTTGCGGCTTTTAGAATCCTTTCTTTATCCTTGACCTTTGGGAGTTTGATTATTAAATGCCTTGAGGTAGTATTCTTTGGGTTAAATCTGTTTGATGTTCTATAATCTTCTTGCACTTGAATATTGATATCTTCCTCTAGGTTTGGAAAGATCTGCGTTATTGTCCCTTTGAATAAACTTTCTACCCTAGTCTTACTCCGTGTCTCCTCTTTAAGGCCAATAACTTAGATTTGCCCCTTTAAGGCTATTTTCTGTATCTCTTAGGTGTGCTTCATTCTTTTTTCTTTTATCTCTTCTGACTGTATGTTTAAATAGTCTATCTTCAAGCTCATTCATTCTTTTTTCTTCTTGATCAATTCTACTGTTAAGAGACTGATGTGTGTCAGTATGTCAGTTGCATTTTTTAGCACCAGAATTCATTAATTTTTGTTAATTATTTTAATCTCTTTGTTAAATTTATCTGATAGAATTCTGAATTTTTTTCTCTGTTATCTTGAATTTCATTGAACTTCCTTAAAACAGCCATTTTGAATTCTCTGTCTGAAAAGTCACAAAGCTCTGTCACTCCAGGATTGGTCACTGGTGCCTTTTAGTCTGTTTGGTGAGGTCATGTTTTCCTGGATGGTCTTAATACTTGTGGATGTTTGTCAATGTTTAGGCATTGAACAGTTAGGTACTTATTGTAGTCTTCATGATCTGGGCTTGTTTGTACCCCTCTTTCCTGGAAAAGTTTTCCAAGTATTCAAAGGAATTGAATGTTGTGATTTAAATCTTCGGTCAATGCAGCCATATATACATTAGGGGGCACCCCAAGCCCAGTAATGCTGTGACCTTGCAGCCTGTTAGAGGTACTGCCCTGGTGGCCTTGGGTAAGATCCAGGAAATTTCCTTGTATTACAAGACAGAGACTCTTGTTCTCTTCCTTTACTTTTCGCTAAACGAATGGAGTATCTCTTTCTACGGTGAGCTGCTTGATGTTGAGGGACGAGTGACACAGCACTGCTGTAGCCACCATCACTGGGACTGTGCTGAGCCAGACCTAAAGCCAGCATAGTACTGGGTCTTGCCCAAGGCCTGTAACAACTATTATCTGGCTACAACTAATGTTTATTCAAGGCCCAAGGGCTCTTTGGTCAACAGGTGGTAAGTACAGCCAGGCTTGTATCTTTTCCTTCAGGACAGCAAATTCCTTTCTGGCCCAGGGTGGGTCTTGAAGTGCTGTCTGGGAGCCAGGACCTGGAGTTGAGAACTTTAGAAATCTATTTGGTGCTTTATTTTACTGTGGCTGAGCTGGTACCCAAGTTGCAAGGCAAAGTCCTTTTTACTCTTCCGTCTCCTTTCCTCAAGCAAAAAGAATCTCTCCCCATGGCCACCACTGCCCCAGGCCCATGGTGAGTACTGCCTGGCTACCACTGATGTTTATTCAAGGCCTAAGGGCTCTTCAGTCAGCTGGTGTTGAATCTTGCCAGGACTGAATCTCCCCCTTCAGAGAAGCAGGTTCCCTTCTCACCCAGGGCAGCTGTAGAAATGCTGTCCAGGAGCTAAGGCCTGGAATCAGGGATTTAGTGCTTTAATTTACTGTGTCTGAGATGGTGCCCAAGTTGCAAGACAAAGTCCTTTATACTCCTTCTTCCTTTTTTGTCAAGTAGAAGGAGTCTATTTTCATGGCTTTCCCACCTGGGAATGCACTGGGTCAGACCTAAAGCCAGCACGGTACTGGGTATTGCCCAACACCTGTGCCAAGTACTGCCTGGCTACTGCTGATGTTTATTCAAAGTCCAAGGGCTTTTTAGTCAGCAAGTGATGAATCCTTCCAGGAGGAAATCCTTCTCCTAAAGGCAGAGGGTTCCCTTCTGGCTCAGGGTATGTCTAGAAATGTTGTCTGGGAGCTAGGGTCTGGAATAGGGACTTCAAGACTCCGTTTATGCTGTATTTTACTGAGATTGAGCTGGTATCCAAGTTGCAAGACAAAGTCCTTGCCCAGGAATTGCTGTTCTTTTGGCTTAGACTGCCTTTCAAGCTTATTTAGAACCCCAGAGCACTTCAGCCCACGGTGGTGGGGCTTGATAAAACTCAAGTTCTGACCAGTGGGATGGATGATTCCCCTCTGGCTAGGGATGGTCTAAATGCTACCTCTGTGTGCGCCAGCTGAATTCTGCCCCATATTGCTCTCCACCATGACAGGGTAGCACTGAGTTCCAGTGCAAAGTCCCACAATCAGTGCTGTTTCCATCCTGCAAGCACACATTCTCCATCTGCACCACATGGCTGCTGCTGGGGCATGGGCGGGTGGTGGTGTAGACAATTCAAGACTGTCTTTCCTACCCTCCTCAGTGCCTCTTTCCTCGATACAATGTTAAAATCAGGTACTCTAAGTGCTCACCTGATGTTTTAATCTTATGAAGCTGTTTTCTTGTGTGGATAGTTGTACCGTTTGGTATTCCTATGGTGGGGACAGTTGCTGGAAGGTTCTATTCAGCCATCTTGCTCTGCCTGTGCTCTGAGAGCTTTTCAGTTTTTTTGTTGTTGTTGTTGTTTTAATACATTAGGGATAAGATTCCTTTGTTGTTTTCATGTGTTACAAATATCTTCCACCATTTTTGGCTTAACTTTTTACATATTTACAATATTTTTTCACACAGAGAAGTTCAAATTTTATTATTACTTTTATTGAATTTGCCAATCTTTTCATAATGGTTTATATTTCTTTCTTATTTAAGAAATCAATCCCTATCTTATATATTTTTCTCCAAATATTCTTATTTCTGTTCTTTTTCACATTTTATCTTTAATCTACTTGGAATCTATCTTTTAGTGTGCTGTGAAATAGTGATGCAATTATAAGATTTTCTTCCATGTAGATAACAAATTACACTATCATCATAGTTGTATTTTTAATGTACAGATTGTATCTCTGCTTAAATGTAATTTGCAGAAAGAATGTCTTAACCATTCCCATTGAGTTATATCCCACTTTTATATGTGCTATAATGTTTTATAATTCTCCTTCTTAAAAATCAAAATAATTTTAAATAATTGATTATTCATGTAATTATTTATTAATTTCTGGTTTCACCCCTTCTCCTCCCCAAAATTATAAATTTCATGAGGACATAAACCATCTCTCACTTAAATCTATAACCTTGGTCCTGACGTGGTACGTAATTCAGAATAAATGCCTGTGAAAGTATTCAACTGATACATAAATAAATTATTTTATTTCCATAATGTGTGAGATGAAAATACATTGATTTATGATGCCTTGAGTTTTTAACAAGGCTGAAAATAACCTTAAATTTTCCACGATTTATGTGATACTGAGTAAACGCTACTGCTTGAACTCTTATTATAAGTTTTTTATTTGTTTCTAAAAGGCTTCCACTTACACAGCTGGCTTCTTCCATCCAATTTGTAAGGGTATAAGAGATACAATAGGTATCCAGTATGCAAGTCAGTAAGACATGTAAAATCTGTGACATCGCATCCTACCTCCCACCTGGCCAATTTATCTACAATTACATAGAACTGTATATGAGCCATTTTCCTGAATATAAGAGTTTTTTGTTATGTTTTGTTTTTACCTTTTGGGTTCTTGAAATGAGTTCAACTTATTAAAATTTGGGAAATTCTTTCCAAATAATTTAGATGTTAGACAATGAATTTCTAATGATTCTCAAGGTATTACTTCTTTAAAGTTGGAACAGAATGTGTAATAATCTTTTCTTTTTCAGTAAATAATATAAGTTCATTTTACAACCAGTTGCTCACCTCTAGCCTAGAGTACCTTCAATGTTTCCAGAATTCTGGGCTGTCAGTTTTTGACATTTTAAAGTCTTATCCTGACAGTTTGTTTGTTGTTGTTGTTCATTTTCTGCCTTTTAAAAAAATAGTTGGGGAGTTCAGGTGGACTTCATAACTTTGACAGAGATCTTAAATGTGGAATTTATTTATTTATTTATTTATTTATTTATGCATTCAAATATTTAATGAGTGCTTACTATTTCCCATTGATTATTCTAAGTGGAGAAGATACAATGGTGAAAAAGACATGCAAAATTCCTGCACTGATTGCGCTTATATTGTTCTAGGGAGGTACATTACAAAAAAAAAAGATTATATAATGTTAGGTTGTAAGAAAAATAGATTATTGGGATAGAGAGTGACAAGCAGGGTGCTTTTTTAGATAGGGTTACCAAGGAAAAGAATAAATAAACCCTAAAACAAGAGTTTTACTTTACAATCCTCAAGAGCAAATCTGGTGAATGTCCTAATTTACTAGTATCAAACTTTTTCACTCAAAACTCCAGCTTAACTAATTCACACCTGTTCTTTCCCAAAACTCTTCATATGTTTCCATTTTCTCCATCCATATATTTGTAAAAGTTAATACTGCATCCTCAATCTATGTTGGTATTCATATGCTTTTTCTTATACTTTGCCATCTTTTCATTTTTTTTTATTGTAAGTTCAGGGGTATATGTGCAGGATGTGCAGGTTTGTTACGTAGGTAAACATGTGCCATGGTGGTTTGCTACACAGATCATCCCATCACCTAGGTATTAAGCCTAGCATCCATTAGCTATTCTTCCTGATGCTCTCCTTCCTCCCCCACCCCCAACAGGCCCCAGTGTGTGTTGTTCCCCTCCCTGTGTCCGTGCGTTCTCATTGTTCGGTTCCCACATGTAAGTGAGAACATGTGGTGTTTGGTTTTCTTTTCCTGTGTTAGTTTGCTGAGGATAATGTCCCCCAGGTCCATTCATGTTCCTGCAAAGACCATAATTCTCATTCCTTTTTATGGCTGCATAGTATTCCATGGTTTATATGGGCCACATTTTCTTTATCCAGTCTATCATCGATGGACATTTAGGTTGACTCCATGTCTTTGCTATTGTGAATAATGCTGCAACAAACATATGTATGCATGTATCTTCATAACAGAATGACTTATATTCCTTTGGGTATATACCCAGCAGTGAGATTGCTGGGTCAAATGGTATTTCTGCCGCTAGGTCTTTAAGGAATTGCCACACTGTCTTCCACAATGGTTGAACTAATTTACACTCCCACCAACATTTCCTTTTGCTCCACAACCTCACCAGCATCTGTTGTTTTTTGACTTTTTAATAATAGCCATTCTGACTGGTGTGAGTTGGTATCTCATTGTGGTTTTGATTTGCATTTCTCTAATGAACAGTGATGTTGAGCTTTTTTTCATATGATTGTTGGCCACATGTATGTCTTCTTTTGAAAAGTGTCTGTCATGTCCTTTGCCCACTTTTTAATGGAGTTGTTGGTATTTCTCTTATAAATGTGTTTAAGTTCCTTGTAGACTCTGGATATTAGACCTTTGTCCAATGGATAGATTGCAAAAATTTTCTCCCATTCTCTAGATTGTCTGTTCACTCTGAGGATAATTTCTTTTGCTGTGCAGAAGCCCTTCAGTTTAATTAGATCCCATTTGTCAATTTTTGCTTTTGTTTCAGTTGCTTTAGGTGTCTTCCTCATGAAATCATTTCCCATGCCTATGTCCTGAATGGTATTGCCTAGATTTTCTTCTAGAGTTTTTATAGTTTTGGGTTTTACATTTAAATTTTTAATCCATCTTGAGTTGATTTTTGTATATGGTGTAAGGAAGGGGTCCAGTTTCAATTTTCTGCCTATGGCTAACCAGTTCTTCCAGCAGCATTTATTAAATAGGGAATCCTTTCCCCATTGCCTGTTTTTGCCAGGTTTGTTGAAGATCAGATGGTTGTAGGAGTGCAGTCTTACCTCTGCATTCTCTATTTTGTTCCATCGGTCTATGTGTCTTTTCTTGTACCAGTACCATGCTATTTTGGTTACTGTAGCTTTATACTATAATTTGAAGTCCAGTAACATGATGCCTCCAGCTTTGTTCTTTTTGCTTAGGATTGTCTTGACTGTTCAAACTCTTTTGTCGTTCCATATGAATTTTCAAATAGGTTTTTCTAATTCTGTGAAGAATGTCAATGGTAGTTTAATGAGAATAGCATCAAATCTAAAAATTGCTTTGGGCAGTGTGGCCATTTTCACAATATTGATTCTTCCTATCCATAAGCATGGAATGTTTTTCTATTTGTTTGTATCATCTCTGATTTCTTTGAGTAGTGGCTTGTAGTTCTCCTTGTAGAGATCTTTCACTTCACTAGTTAGCAATATTCCTAGATATTGTATTCTTTTTGTGGCAGTTGTGAATGGGAGTTCATTCATGATTTGGCTCTCAACTTGCCTGTTGCTGGCGTATAGGAATGCTAGTGATTTTTGCACATTGATTTTGTATCCTGAGACTGCTGAAGTTGTATATCAGCTGGAGAAACTTTTGAGCTGAGACAGTGGGGTTTTCTAGATATAGAATCATGTCATCTTCAAACAAAGCTAGCTTGACTTCCTCTCTTCCTATTTGAGTATCTTTATTTCTTTCTCTTGCCTAATTGCCCTGGCCAGAACTTCCAATACCACATTGAATAGGAGAGGTGAGAGAGGGTATCCTTGTCTTGTGCCAGTTATCAAGGGGAATGCTTCCAGCTTTTGCCCATTCAGTATCATATTGATACTTTGCCATCTTTTCAACCTTCTTATTTCCTAGATATGTGCCCACTTATATGCTGCATATAATTCTGCTTACCTGGAACCATTTAAGTATGCATGTACTTGGGTATATAAGAGTAAATATGTGTATATAAACCTGTAGGCAGCACAGTCAGAACTGTGTTTACATATGCACATACACACATGAATTAAGGATAAAAGATATAGAAAAGATGAGGGAAACAACTATCCTGAGCATTGCTAGATATTTCCAAAATAATTACGTATTAAAATTGAATTATCATTGCAGAGCCAAAACACAGCAGGGGGCAGAGTTCAGAAATGTTCCTCTAGGTCAGCTGTGCCAGTTCTGTAATCTGTGAGCAAATTACTCAAAATATAGCAGGGACATAATTAAATATTTCAACACTATTGTCAACAGAATATATTAAGCACTTAACTCCTTAAAAAGACAATAATTGTAATAGTGGAATCCACTTTATACTAGTCATACTCAATTCAGCTTTTAAATGTTATCTATTTAAAATGGACAGTTATTACTTACAATATATATGTAAGTATAAATATATTTAATATGTATGTAAATATATGTGCTATATATACATTTATAATGAAAGTATACATATGATATACCTTTTAAAATCAATACATACTTAAATATTAAGTTAGCTCTCCCTCCTTCACTAATACTAGTCATTCTAGCATGCCTTATATCTACTCAATTTCTTTTCAATTTCAACATGAATTTAAAAGTTATTGCTTAAATCTAAGGAATTTAATATACACAACAGAACTTTATAAATGTATTCAAAGAAAGGGTCTCTAGATCAATGCAAATTTTTTTCTTTAGATCATTACTAAAAACGCATAGTCAGGGTCAAAATAGAGCTGGAATTCTTTTTACCTATATTTAAAAAGTATGCAGTGAAAAGTATTCAGGCTCAACTAGATAAAGAAGCTTTACAGAGTGCTTTATCAGCTTCAATAATTAAAAGATTTCCTGCTAACTATTCAATAAGAGTCTTCTTTATAGCTCTGCTTTGCAGTCAGTTCTTTCCATCACTTCCTTTGAAAAGTCTAATTAAAGTGGAAGGCTTTATTTCTATTCATTCCGTGTTTGCCATATTGGACATAGATACTAAAATAACTAATTAAAGACTATATTGGCTCTTTTTAAATTCTTGTCCTGTTGGAACTTTATGGGGTATGGGAGTGGAAGGAGAAGTATTTTCTCAGTTTTAGTTTTTAAAGTTGGTTTTTTATTGTCACTCTCTCAATATTAATTATCTTTTGGGTTAATGGAAGTAATATGGATAACTTTCTCCCTGATGCCTGTATTGATGCTGTAATAGGTGTTTTTTTTTTAGAGTAACTGACTAGTGAAGAATTGAAACTAAACACTTCAGAGCCCTTATATTCCCCTTGTTGTATTACTGGAGCATTACTTAAGCACTGCTAACTATCTTTTAAAAATATATTTGCTGTAGTGTTCAAAGAAACTTGCATGGAAAAAAAGCCATTTTCTACTTCCCAGAAACAGATGTTTTCTTTTTTGTGTGTATTTTCGTCTATATTTATAACCATACGTTTAAGATCATAATAATTATATGCTGTATATGGCTTACAAGGTTTTTCTTTTCCTTATTCTAATTATAAACTCTAGCCAGTAAGTGTCTCCATAAAGGTGATACGCCTTTTATAGAATCAAGTGCTAAGATAAAGAATCTTAAAAGCTTATTTTTTACTGTTAGAATATAGGCAGTTGAAGGGTTAAAACAAGTCAACCATAATTCAATGAGAACATTCTGGCCCTTACTACTTACTATCTTGAGAGAGTTATAATAGAGTAAGAAACATATTTATGCAAGTGAGTGTAATACAGGAAAGAATATGATGTTGTTAAGATGTAGTACAAAGTGGGCTGGGTGCGGTGACTTACGCCTGTAATCCCAGCACTTTGGGAGGCCGAGGCAGGCGGATCACGAGGTCAGGAGATCGAGACCATCCTGGCTAACACAGTGAAACCTGGTCTCTACTAAAAATACAAAAAAAAGTAGTACAAAGTATTTTAGAGGCACAGTGCTTTGTAGTTGATCAATGAAATACTTACAGAAGATTTCAAAATAAGATACATATGGATGTGTACTTGTATATATACCCCTATATGCATTTCCAGGAAAATGGAATCATAAAGATTTGGATACAAAAAAATTATTTTCATTTATGTTTGGACATGAGGAAGGAAGAGACATACTCTAGAATTCTATCAGAAGATTGACATTGCTTGAGCAACTGCTCAGTCATACCTCTGAGAATAGTCATTTTAAATAAAATGACAACTTTTAAGAAATACTCCATATTCAGGCAAAGTTCCAATGACGTAATGGTCAGAAATCTTAAGTTGATGCATTTTAGAAAAAGCCAAGGATACCTTCTTTGAAGATATAGTTTGCTTTAATTTTATTTTAAGTTCCATGAAGGTAGGAATTTTTTCTTTTTTGTTTGATGATTCATCCAAAGCACCTAAAACAATAGCTTTTACACAGTAGCTACTCAGTAAATACTTATTGAACAAATGTTGAATGAAACTCTTGGCACATATTTTGGTTTCAATCCATTCCTGATGGCCAGACAACTGGGCAGAATCATGGACTGAATTCTTTAAAAAAAAAATCCGTAGGAATCAATGCAGTACAGAGGATAAAACACAAAACTGAAAGTCAAGACATTTGAGTTCCGCTGATAATAACTAGTTGTAAGATGATGGTCAAATCATTTAATCTTCCATCCAAGAACATTCTTTCTCTTCTCAAATTCTATGAGTCAATTTTCAGCCCCACTTATAACTCTTAAAATTTCATAGAAGGTTATCCAAGCTTTTCATGCATCAAATTGTCCTTGTGATAAAGATAAATCATAGCTGATGATGGATGATTAAATAAGGAAATATAAAAATTCTTTGAAAGCTTTTGGATGATAATATTTATATATTATACGAAATATAAATGTTATATATATTAAGTATATCTATGTGAAGAAAATGTGACAATTCCATTCAGTTATGTAATAACATTTTAACTTTGATAATATATTACAAATATTTCAGATTAACATAAACACTTAAAAGAGAAAAAACACTTAAGATTTATTTTCTTCCCTATAGATCTAGCTATCTATATATATTAAGTTGAATCTAACTCAATTTTACAAGTTTGACAAGATAAACAGAAGAATCTGATACAAACTTATGTAGATTAAGCAACTGCAAATTTGTGAAAAGTTATTTTTTCTAATCTTGGGTTAGAATAAAACCAGAAGACAATGGTAGATTTTATTTCAATCCAAGGGACTTTTTTTTTTAAGGAGAAAACTGCTAAATGCTCCAAAGGCTCATCTTTTTATAGATAAAGTGATTTTTTTTCTTGCCCACATCATAGCTTTTATGGTATTTTGGATTTTCATTTTCAATTCACAGAAGGGCTACTTCCGCTCACAAGGCAGTGTTACACATTTTCAAACAATGAAAAATTACAAGGCATCAATCAGATCCATAGGGAAATTGAGTTTCTATGATGAAATCTATAGTTTTACTACACACTTAATAAATACTTAATACTAATGATGATCTCATACCCACTCATCACTGGACCTAAATGTTTGCTGCAATATCCTCCACATGATTCCAATAGTCTGAGCAAGACTCACAAAAGCCAGGTCACTAAGCAAATACACAGTGCAGTATGGCATGGGCAGTTAGTTCCAGCAGATAGAACAAGCATCTTTTCCTGGACATTTCCTGTGCAGTCTGATTGACTCCCTGATGTTTCCCATTCACTCCAAGCTGCTTTTTCCCTCCTCCATTCAAAATTGCAGAATTCTCTCCCTGGTCTCAAGCTGCTGTCTCTATTCTTAAACTATATGCTCAACTTCCTACCACCCCACCTTATTTTTTGATGAAGTCTGTTTCATCATAGAATCCTTAAATAACAAATCTCATAGAAAAGAGTCTACTCTGCTCCTGTGTATAACATTAGATTTTAATGATATGAAAGAACAAAGTCCAATAGTTGGTTTGGAGAGTGAGAGCCCCCAAAAAAAATGACTACAAGAAGAGAACAAATGAGTACATATTAAGAAATTTCCATTGCAGGCCATTCATTCCTGATAGTTGTAGCTCTCTATCTCATTTTAAATGATAGGCAGCCTCAATCAACTTTTGATGCAATATTAAAAAGAATAGGAAACAATGATTATGTAGCAACCAAGGTCTTAGATGGTCCAGAAACCTTATATTAATCTCTTCCCCTACCAAAATTTGAGGCCAAACATGCTAAAGCATGTAGAGTTTGCTCATTTAATTTTACCTCCTTTCATTTTCTCTTTTCATTCTTTGAATAAAATGACAATATTTCACGAAACAGTCAGGAAGTAAATACAGAATAATAGAAAAGAAAATGGTCACAGACACCTGCTGGGCATTTTCTATACACCAGGTACTGTACTGAGAATTTTGCACATATTGGAATGATGCATCTGTATGCTTCACAAACTGATATCATTAAATGGACCCTGCTTGCAAGAAGCAAACTCCAAACACCTTCTTTCAGGTTATTGGTTAGTCATATAAGAATCAGCAAACATGAACTTTCTTTTTTCCATCAAGTCAAAAGGGCAAAAGGAGGAAAGTTTAATCACTACATAGTAATCTCATAAAATGTAGAGTTCTGCGTAAACATAAGTCACCTAAAAAATCTCTATGATGGGACTAATAGATACCTTCAATGGGTTTATAAACCTCCAGTGCTTTGTGTTACAGAGCATAGCAAGAACAACATATTCGTTGTTGTTGTTGTTGCTGCTGCTGCTGTTTTCTCCTCCCAGTGAACAGTTTGGCTGTGCAATTTATAGGATGAACACAAGATATGTTTGCATCCTGAGATTTGCCAGTAAAACATTCTCAAGTCCTTTATTAATCCCCATTTTTAAAAATTCAGATCATTCTAATTATACTCCATCACTCAACGAAGTTTTACAGGAAATCAAAGAATTTGTTTTCAATGACTGAGGACAATTAAACTTGGTTGAGTCTGAAACTTTGTGATGTGTATTTCAAAGGTCTTTCTCAATAAATTTTTAGGTTGTGGTGTATTTATCAGCCTAACAAAAGGATTAATATAGCTCCTAAAAAGGGATAAAATATTAAATAGTCAAAAAGGGATCGAATATTAAAAAATGTAAGTTAGGTAATGGATGGATCAAAGTGTCAATAAAATTGAAGACATTCTTAGCAACTTAAATACTTTGAATTGGGTGGTTAGAATTTGTTCACCAGGCTAACTATGTGTGCAGGAAGAATTTTTATATTTCAGGAATGTCTAGGTTAACAAAAGCTAAATATTCAGATGTAATAAAGGAAATAGTTTTTAGTCCTGGTGTCTAAAGTGAAAAAGCATTAATTCAAATCCCAACTCCACCACTGATGAGCTGTTGATCTTATCAAACCTTTTAGGCCTCAGCTTCTTTTTCTGTCAAATTGTTATAATAATGGTATCTACTCTCTGTGATTGGTGTGAGTATTGGAAATAATGTATATAAGATACTTAGCATAGTGTCTGTCAAGTCATAAAAATGCAATAAAAGTTAGTTGCTGTTGTAACTGTATACTTTTAGCATGTTTGTCTTTAAAAGACCTATAATTTATTTATTTAATTGCTAAAATTTGTCTCCATTTTTCTTGTTCAGAGATTGTTTTATTTAATCTTCATAATAACAGGATTAAGTGAGAAGAGTAAATTCTCTAATTTCTAATTCTATAGTTGAAGAAACTTGAAATCAAGAAAAAGAGGAGAAAATAATTTCTTTTTTCTTTTTTTTTTTTTTTTGAGACGGAATCTTGCTCTGCCGCCCAGGCTGGAGTGCAATGGCATGATCTCAGCTCACTGCAACCTCCACTTCCCAGGTTCAAGCTATTCTCCTTTCTCAGTCTCCCAAGCAGCTGGGATTACAGGCATCCACCACCACGCCGGGCTAATATTTTGTATTTTTAGTAGAGATGGGGTTTCACCATGTTGGCCAGGCTGGTTTCAAACTCCTGAAAGTGATCTACCTGCCTCAGCCTACCAAAGTGCTAGGATTACAGGCATGAGCCACCACGCCCGGCCAATAAGTTGTTAATATTATACTAAGTACTAGTTATTTATTTACTATATACTTTATACCTTATCACATTTAACCCCACCCCAAGGTTATATGCTAGTTATTACTCATGAATTACAGATGAGAGAATCAAGGAAATTATTCAGAATCATATCACTAGTGAGTTACGGACCAGGAACTTTAACACAAATTTCTAAACTCAGAAACATATTCTATGTTATTTCTAATAAATATGGCCTTATCACTAATCAACACATCAGTGTCACTTCAAACACATATCTAGAATCAAGTTCATACTCTTCACACCTTCTAATCTTTGTGTCCCCCCAAAAAAGAAACTATCTCCTAGATTCTTCATCTATATTAATGGTTTTACAATCCACCCAATCACTCAAACTGAAAACTGCCAGTTGGCCTTGGCCTCCCACTTTCTCACCACCCATATTTATGGATCACTTCCTGAGAGTTCTCTCTGGACGGACTTGCAGCTCTGTCTCCTGCTCTCCATCTCCACTGTTATAACCTAAGGTACTCATCATCTCTGCCTCATATTTTATCATACACTAGTTCCTTATTCTGGAGAATTGAATACCTTTACAAACAAAGCAGCCATACCTATCTTTCTAATGCATAGATCTATTTGTTTCCCCTACTAAAAAGTTTTCAATGTCTCTTCATTGCCTTCAGAGAAAATTCTAAACTTCTTCCAAACAGATACTGAAAACCATGTAACCACCCCAGGTTATCCCACTCCAACTTCTCTGTGTTCTGGGTACAGTGGTAAGTGGTGTTTCTTAAACATATTTACATCTACTTACTGTTTTTATGATTTTCTCTTTGTCTGATATGACTTTCATCAATTGGATAGGGTAAGCTTCAACACATTATTCAAAGACCAAGCCATCCTCCACTTAGCCCCTACCAGAATGAATCATGTGTTTTTCCATAGTGTTTTATACCTGTTGCTGATAGAACTTCATTCATCCTATGCTATTACGGTCAGTCATTACCATGTGAGTAACTCTTGAGCAGGGGCCATCATTTAAGAATATTAGTATTACCAAAATATCACATGGGAAATACTTAATAATTTTTGAGAAATAAATGAATAAATTACATATTAAATACATAAATGGTGAAACCAAGAATTATATTGCAAATATTAAACAGCTGCATTTTACAGACACAGGCAAATCAGAATGAAAGCACAGATCAATAAAAATGGGCCCAGACCAGGAGATTAGGGTATGGACCAATCAGAATTGATGTTAGCTACACACAACCAGCTTGGACTGACCATAGTGACCATATACTTGCACCAGGTGCAGCTCATGTCACTTAATTCTATGCAATATAATTTTTTCAATGGCTTTTATGAACTTTTAATTCTATTTAAGATAATTTTTCAATGGCTTTTATGAACTTACTATTTCCCCCAGGGGATATAAAGATACCATCAATATGTATAATTTGAGTAAATTCAGTAGTTTGACTAATGGATCGATGTAATAGCAAATAATTTATTACCTGCCCTCTGTGCATCAATCTCACTTTGAGGTAACCAAGCCTTCTTAGTTGAGTAAGACATAAACCCTGTCTTCTGGGAATCATATATTACAGAATCTTCTCGATTTTTATTCTATTATTTAGTAAAATAACAAACTGGTAACCAATTAAAGGCAGACTACATTCTTCACAATATCTGATTTGATTTGTTTCTTTAAAGGGAGAGTCCATTCTAACGAACATACTATCACCACTTCCAAGGCTCTCTGTCAACATACAAACATTCTTTCCATTAGAATGATCCTCCTTGACGAGGGTGGTTTCAGGCAATAAAATGAGTTACTGTTGAAATGTGAATGATGAAGACATTAAACATATTTAAAAGACACGAAATGAGTCCTACAGAAGTTTGGCTACCATCCAGATTCACTTTTTCCTCAAACTTCTGTAATATTCAAAAAGGACAAATACTCCTGATTTTAAACCCACCATGCTATTTCCAGGGAGCCATGACTGCTAGGTAAAATGTTCAAGCGCATGCGGGATTGTCATCTTCCTGAGGTGGAGTAGAGACAATCCTTGCAATGGGAAGGAAGATAGACTAGGCAGCCAACCTCCTTTACAGAGCTAAGGTCATAATTTCATGGCCTATAATTTTATGTTGCATCGTATCTTCATAGGTAGTTACTTATTATGCTTTTAACTTAAATATGTGTCACACATATTCTTTTGTAGGTATGTAATATTTTATTAATTTTTTAAAAAATATGCAGCTAACTCGTGGAATATACTATTAGGAAGTCATAAAAACATTACCAAATTACATGTAATTTCTCTTCTCTATGTCCTTCATTGGGTTACCTGTTGATCCTTTAATCAAAGCCTTGTAATTACGAAAAGAGACGCTACATGAGTGCCCATATGAAGGTGATTAAAGGGAGAAAATAAGAGACCGAGAGAGGAATGAGTGGGGAGAGAAGAGGAGGGACAGTTGATGGTGTCCCCTACTAGTTGTCCAGTAGGGGAGAGAGAGGTCCTCACTGCACCATGTTCCAGAGCTTATTTTTGTTGTTGTTGTTTTGAGACAAAGTCTCACTCTGTCGCCCAAGCTGGAGTGCAGCGGCATGATCTCAGCTCACTGCAACCTCCACCTCCTGGGTTCAAGGGATTCTCCTGCCTCAGCCTCCCGAGTAGCTGGGATTATAGGTGTGCACCACCATGCCCAGCTAATTTTTGTATTTTTTTTAGTAGAGATGAGTTTTATTTTTAATTTTATTATTATTATACTTTAAGTTTTAGGGTACATGTGCACAATGTGCAGGTTTGTTACATATGTATACATGTGCCATGTTGGTGTGCTGCACCCATTAACTCATCATTTACATTAGGTATATCTCCTAATGCTATCACTCACCCCTCCCCCCACCAAACAACAGTCCCTGGTGTGTGATGTTCCCCTTCCTGTGTCCATGTGTTCTCATTGTTCAATTCCCACCTGTGAGTGAGAACATGCGGTGTTTGGTTTTCTGTCCTTGCGATAGTTTGCTGAGAATGATGGTTTCCAGTTTCATCCATGTCCCTTCAAAGAACATGAACTCATCATTTTTTATGGCTGCATAGTATTCCATGGTGTATATGTGCCACATTTTCTTAATCCAGTCCATCCTTGTTGGACATTTGGGTTGGTTCCAAGTCTTTGCTATTGTGAACAGTGCCGCAATAAACATACATGTGCATGTGTCTTTATAGCAGCATGATTTATAATCCTTTGGGTATATACCCAGTAATGGGATGGCTGGGTCAAATGGTATTTCTAGTTCTAGATCCCTGAGGAATCGCCACACTGACTTCCACAATGGTTGAACTAGTTGACAGTCCCACCAACAGTGTAAAAGTGTTCCTATTTCTCCACATCCTCTCCAGCACCTTTGTTCCCTGACTTTTTAATGATCACCATTCTAACTGGTGTGAGATGGTATCTCATTGTGGTTTTGATTTGCATTTCTCTGATGGCCAGTGATGATGAGCATTTTTTCATGTGTCTTTTGACTGCATAAATGTCTTCTTTTGAGAAGTGTCTGTTCATGTCCTTCGCCCACTTGTTGATGGGGTTGTTTGTTTTTTTCTTGTAAATTTGTTTGAGTTCATTGTAGATTCTGGATATTAGCCCTTTGTCAGATGATTAGGTTGCAAAAATTTTCTCCCATTCTGTAGGTTGCCTGTTCACTCTGATGGTAGTTTCTTTTGCTGTGCAGAAGCTCTTTAGTTTAATTAGATCCCATTTGTCAATCTTTGGCTTTGGTTGCCATTGCTTTTGGTGTTTTAGATATGAAGTCCTTGCCCATGCCTATGTCCTGAATGGTATTGCCTAGGTTTTCTTCTAGGGTTTTTATGGTTTTAGGTCTAACATGTAAGTCTTTAATCCAACCTGAATTAATTTTTGTATAAGGTGTAAGGAAGGGATACAGTTTTAACTTTCTACATATGGCTAGCCAGTTTTCCCAGCACCATTTATTAAATAGGGCATCCTTCCCCCATTGGTTGTTTTTGTCAGGTTTGTCAAAGATCAGATAGTTGTAGATATGCGGCATTATTTCTGAGGGCTCTGTTCTGTTCCATTGGTCTATATCTCTGTTTTGGTACCAGTACCATGCTGTTTTGGTTACTGTAGCCTTGTAGTATAGTTTGAAGTCAGGTAGCATGATGCCTCCAGCTTTGTTCTTTTGGCTTAGGATTGACTTGGCAATGCAGGCTCTTTTTTGGTTCCATGTGAACCTTAAAGTAGTTTTTTCCAATTCTGTGTAGAAAGTCATTGGTAGCTTGATGGGGATAGCATTGAATCTATAAATTACCTTGGGCAGTATGGCCATTTTCACGATATTGATTCTTCCTACCCATGAGCATGGAATGTTCTTCCATTTGTTTGTATCCTCTTTTATCTCATTGAGCAGTGGTTTGTAGTTCTCCTTGAAGAGGTCCTTCACATCTCTTGTAAGTTGAATTCCTAGGTATTTTATTCTCTTTGAAGCAATTGTGAATGGGAGTTCACTCATGATTTGGCTCTCTGTTTGTCTGTTATTGGTGTATAAGAATGCTTGTGATTTTTGTACATTGATTTTGTATCCTGAGACTTTGCTGAAATTGCTTATCAGCTTAAGGAGATTTTGGGCTGAGACGATGGGGTTCTCTAGATATACAATCATGTCATCTGCAAACAGGGACAATTTGACTTCCTCTTTTCCTAAGTGAATACCCCTTATTTCCTTCTCCTGCCTGATTGCCCTGGCCAGAACTTCCAACACTATGTTGAATAGGAGTGGCGAGAGAGGGCATCCCTGACTTGTGCCAGTTTTCAAAGGTAACGCTTCCAGTTTTTGCCCATTCAGTATGATATTGGCTGTGGGTTTGTCATAGATAGCTCTTATTATTTTGAGATACGTCCCATCAATACCTAATTTATTGAGAGTTTTTAGCATGAAGGGTTGTTGAATTTTGTCAAAGGCCTTTTCTGCATCTATTAAGATAATCATGTGGTTTTTGTTTTTGGTTCTGTTTATATGCTGGATTACATTTATTGATTTGCGTATGTTGAACCAGCCTTGCATCCCAGGGATGAAGCCCACTTGATCATGGTGGATAAGCTTTTTGATGTGCTGCTGGATTCGGTTTGCCAGTATTTTATTGAGGATTTTTGCATCAATGTTCATCGAGGATATTGGTCTAAAATTCTCTTTTTTGGTTGTGTCTCTGCCAGGCTTTGGTATCAGGATGATGCTGGCCTCATAAAATGAGTTACGGAGGATTCCCTCTTTTTCTATTGATTGGAATAGTTTCAGAAGGAGTGGTACCAGTTCCTCCTTGTACTTCTGGTAGAATTCGGCTGTGAATCCATCTGGTCCTGGACTTTTTTTGGTTGGAAAGCTATTGATTATTGCCTCGATTTCAGATCCTGTTACTGGTCTATTCAGAGATTCAACTTCTTCCTGGTTTAGTCTTGGGAGAGTGTATGTGTTGAGGAATTTATCCATTTCTTCTAGATTTTCTAGTTTATTCACATAGAGGTGTTTGTAGTATTCTCTGATGGTAGTTTGTATTTCTGGGGATCGGTGATGATATCCCCTTTATCATTTTTTATTGCATCTATTTGATTCTTCTCTCTTTTCTTCTTTATTAGTCTTGCTAGCAGTCTATCAATTTTGTTGATCCTTTCAAAAAACCAGCTTCTGGATTCATTAATTTTTTGAAGGGTTTTTTGTGTCTCTATGTCCTTCAGTTCTGCTCTGATCTTAGTTATTTCTTGCCTTCTGCTAGCTTTTGAATGTGTTTTCTCTTGCTTTTCTAGTTCTTTTAATTGTGATGTTAGGGTGTCAATTTTAGATCTTTCCTGCTTTCTCTTGTGGGCATTTAGTGCTATAAATTTCCCTCTACACACTGCTTTAAATGTGTCCCAGAGATTCTGGTATGTGGTGTCTTTGTTCTCGTTGGTTTCCAAGAACATCTTTATTTCTGCCTTCGTTTCATTATGTACCCAGTAGTCATTCAGAAGCAGGTTGTTCAGTTTCCATGTACTTGAGCAATTTTGAGTGAGTTTCTTAATCCTGAGTTCTAGTTTGATTGCTCTGTGGTCTGAGAGACAGTTTGTTATAATTTCTGTTCTTTTATATTTGCTGAGGAGTGCTTTACTTCCAACTATGTGGTCAATTTTGGAATAGGTGTGGTGTGGTGCTGAAAAAAATGTATATTCTGTTGATTTGGGGTGGAGAGTTCTGTAGATGTCTATTAGGTCTGCTTGGTGCAGAGCTGAGTTCAATTCCTGGGTATCCTTGTTAACTTTCTGTCTTGTTTTTCTGTCTAATGTTGACAGTGGGGTGTTAAAGTCTCCCATTATTATTGTGTTGGAGTCTAAGTCTCTTTGTAGGTCACTAAGGACTTGCTTTATGAATCTGGGTGCTCGTGTATTGGGTGCATATATATTTAGGATAGGTAGCTCTTCTTGTTGAATTGATCCCTTTACCATTATGTAATGGCCTTCTTTGTCTCTTTTGATCTTTGTTGGTTTAAAGTCTGTTTTATCAGAGACTAGGATTGCAACCCCTGCCTTTTTTTGTTTTCCATTTGCTTGGTAGATCTTCCTCCATCCTTTTATTTTGAGCCTATGTGTGTCTCTGCATGTGAGATGGGTTTGCTGAATACAACACACTGATGGGTATTGACTCTTTTTCCAGTTTGCCAGTCTGTGTCTTTTAATTGGAGCATTTAGCCCATTTACATTCAAAGTTAATATCATTATGTGTGAATTTGATCCTAACATTATGATGTCAGCTGGTTATTTTGCTCGTTAGTTGATGCAGTTTCTTCCAGGCCTGAGATGAGGTTTAACTATGTTGGTCAGGCTGATCTTGAACTCCTGACCTCATGATCCGCCCACCTTGGCCTCCCAAAGTGCTGGGATTATTCATGTGAGCCACCATGCCCGGCCCGTTCCAGAGTTTTTAATAAGAATATCTGGGAGCTAAAGAAGAGTGCATTTAGTCAGCAAGCCACTTATGGATCCGCTGAATAAAATATCAAGTTCTAGTAAATTTCAATCTACAGACAGGAGATCCAGGATGAGACAAGACTGAAAAACCTCTAAATTCAGATTACAGTTTAGAAAAGAAATAAAATCTCTGGATTTCCAGGTATTACTGGAATAACACCACCTCTATACTCCAACAGTGTCGTATGTCTTCTTCAATACTATTTCTGCTACCTGTGACACTCTTTCTTCCTCCCCTCCCCTTTCTTGCTAACTCTGCTAATACCACTTCCTCAGATAATACAGATAATCATTTTCTTTTTTTTTTTGAGATGGAGTCTCACTTTGTTGCACAGGCTGGAGTGCAGTGGCACGATCTTGGCTCACTGCAATCTCCACCTCCTAGGTTCAAGCGATTCTCCTCCCTCAGCCTCCCGAGTAGCTAGGATTACAGGTGCCCACCACCACACCCAGCTAATTTTTATATTTTTAGTAGAGATGGAGTTTATAGGCATGAGCCACCATGCCCGGCACAGAGAATCATTTTCTGAAACACCAAAGCTAAGTTAGGAGCTTCTTTTGTACTTACTGCGTAACACTCTGCACTTTGATTTATGGCACCCAATGCATGTATAATTAAATGGTTCAGCTTCAGCATCTATCTCTGAAATTGTGGACATGCAATTTCCAGGACAGCAGAGAGACTGTGCTTTCTTTTCATCCCTGTGTCTCTAGGGCCTAATACAGAGCCTGGCACATTAGGCAATACTCAATAAATATATTAAGTATATGAATGATGAATGAGTGAATGAATGAATGCATGAATACATAAATAAGTTGCCTCTGGACCATCCAAGCAGATATATTTAGTAGACCACTGGAATTATCATTCTGAGTGCGAAAGAGAGATTAGGGATGGCAATAAAGATTGAAGAGTCATCAGGTTACAAGTGGTAGTGAAATTCATAGGAGAGAATAAATCTCTTAGGAAGAGTAAAATTGCAGAAGACTGAAGACAAACAAGGGATGTAGATCTCATGGAAACAATTCAGAAAACTTCCTCAGAAAATATGAGTGCAGCCTAGATAGTAGTTAAGAACTCAGATTGTTTTAGTCACACTGACTTTTAATCCCATCTCCAGGTCATATGGTGTGAACTAGGTAAGTGTGGAGCTCAGCTGTGCTGGAGACAGCTAAGCTGCCAGGTCTCAGAGCAGCTGATTAAAACAACAAGCCAAAAAATAAAAGCGACAATCAAGCCTTTAATCTCTTCCTGCAGTAGTGTAATCAACAGGCTGAACTGGAGAGCCAAGAGAGCATTGGCTCCCCCCAATCCCATTGCACTTGCCCATGGAAGATCACATTGGTCAAGATGAGGTAGATCAGCACAGATATTGGGGTCATCTTATTGCTGAGGGAGCCCCAAACAAAAGGCTTAAGCAGGGCAGGGGGTTGACAAGAAAACAACGGAAAAGAGCCAGGAGTGGAAAAGTACTGAGTACTGAGTCAGAGTAGGGACAAATGTCAAGTTTTTCCCTTTCTTCCCTGTAAGGTGGTTTCAGCAGAGGCACCTGAAGGTGGCCCCTGCCAAAGGCTCCAAACAAAGAGAGCTCTGAATGATGGCACTGGGGGTAGGAATGCAAATATGCATAAACTATGGTCTGCCAGGGAGGCCTGAGGCCTTGACTGCAACTCCCTTTAGAAACTGTGCCGCGCTGGCTGCACACCAAGCCCGGCGTGGGGAGGGCAGTTTCCCCGTGACACCTGCTGGGCAAAGCTTTCGTCACTGACTATAGTTGGCCCTGAAAATCACTCACAGGTTTTTGGCCAGGAAGCAGACTGCTCAGTAAGTTACTTGAACTCTCTAAATCTCAATGTCCTGATCTATGCCTACCTCGTGATTTGTAAAAAAACTTTGCTAAATTCTTGGCATATATGCAGTGCTCCATAAATGAGAACCCACAGGAGCAGGTTGAGGCGCAGGGGCACCACTGAGACTAAGAGAACAGAGGCCAAGAAGGTCATGACTGAAAATCATCTGTTGCAGTCGACAACTGAGTTGTTAGTGACCTTGGGAGAGTAGATTCAGTGGAGCAAAGACAATGAAAATTAGAGCGCAATAGGTTATCAGCAAATGGAAGGCAAGGGAGAGCGGACAGGAATCATCCACTAGTCTATGAAGATGTTGGTGACAATGAGAACGTGTGTGCAGCTGATGAAGATACATGAGACTGTACAGCTGTCATCTGATTTGTAAGGAATTTGTCCCCTGAATGCCCTTAAACCACAATAAAATCATTAGTATGGTTTTAAAAGCTAACTGAGTACATTGTTTTAGAGAAGATGGAGACTACAGCAAGGCAGGGAAGAGAAAAAGCCCCAGGACCTGGGGTGAAGCCTTCTAAGCAGAGTCAGTGACAGCTGAGTCACGCAGAGGACTCTGATGTCACCACAGAGCTTGTGGTATGCAGACTCATTCCAGATGGGCAGGCTTTCCTTCAGGATCCCTCACTTATCTCTTCTCCTCTCTAAAAGACTAGACACTTTCCACCACTACTAGCCCTCTTTCTGTACATCTGTCAGCTTTTATCCCCAGAAAGCCTGGGCCTTGACAGTCCTCATCCCTGTTGCTCTCTGTTTCTGTAAGCCAAGTTTTGCTTCTGTTCAGCAGACTGAGAAACATCACAGACCCGTCTTCGCACAGAATCCAGCAAGGATAGGATCTCTTCTCCTGACTCAACCAGAAATAAATTTACATAATTTATTACACATTAATATTTTTGAAACTAAGGACAGACCGTGGTTCCTCTGTAAAGACTGAAGCATCAAGAAAAATCAGCAGCTATTCTAAAGAGGCAAAAACATAAAACCCCCATCAGAATCCCATTACAGTACTGAGACCATAGGAGAAAGCTAACATGCATATCATAGATTTTCCATGGAGGATGTGAATCCATAGCATAGTGAGGCCTATGTAAGAGGATTTATTATACTTTTTATGTGACAATAATATTTCCAGGGCTTTCAGGTACACCTAGTACAAAGGCTTTTCCTAGTACTAAAATGCCACAAGAGACACATGAAGCTCAGTAACTCTTTAAGTTGTAGCTTAAATCACCCAGATTTTTGCATTTGAAAGAAAGCATAGAATGCATGCACAATCAATGTAAAGTATTACATAAAATAATTTAATCATATACAACTCAGCAGGTTTATGCCTGCTGCCATTTCTCTCCTGTTTCTTTAGTAGACTATCATTTTCTGCCTCTGCTGTTTACAGGAATATATTTTATTTCAAAAGCAAGATTTTTCTTGGCACTCAACTCATCCATGACTTTATTGTTGAATTTTTTTTAATGTTATAACTCAACTCTTTGTGTGGTTAAAATGGCTGAGGCTCTTTTATGTTGTTCTTATGTTTTCTTCCCCCATCAAGCATTCTGACCGCTGCTGTCAAAATCTGATAATAAATGAAGATTTCTCCCACAGTGGACCTCTTATAACCATGGCAACTCCATCAGCAGCTAATGGTCACATTACAAAAATGCTTTTGAAAAAGGCAGCTTCTCACATTGCTTTAGTACAAATGTCCTTTCCTTACCTTCTCTCCATAATAATTCTAAGAAAACAACACATCCCAAGCAAACATTTGCTTTGTTGTGCATATGTGGGGTCACTTTAAAAAATAAAAAAAAAAAAAGAAGAGAAACTACAAATAATAAAAGAGAAAGATTATTTGAAAGCATGGCACTAAAGTAGGAAATGATACTGATGGCTTAGCAGCATTAACAACATATTTGTATTGTTTTTACAACTGAAGTCAATGCAGCTATTGCTTCTTAAGAATTTGATAATTTTTATTGCTGTTACTTCACCCTACCATCAAATTAGGGAGGCTTTCTAAAATGCTTATTTTAGGTTTCATATGAATTGTCTCTGAGCAATTGGTCACTTGTGGGAAATGCAGCTATATGTACACACTGATATATCTTCTTTTCTGTCTGAGACTTTCATGTGCTTTTATATATCCTTGAAAAAACCCCATAGGAGAATTAGCATATGGACTTTTCAGCCTGCCTCACACAGGTTCACAACAGAAATTCCTGTCTGAGCTCTGCTCTTAGACACTCAAAAGTGCTCTGGCTTCCTTATTTACAAAGTAGATCAAAACTAGTTTCTAACATAGAAATTTTCTCCAAGTGCCTGCTTCTGAAATGGCCTGCCTGTTAAAACAAAGGAGGATGTTTTCCACATTAACTTCTTGTTAAAATGATGTATCTGTCTGAATGGAAATAATAGGCATTCAGATAGAGTTCTCTATCTCCATCCATATGTCACTCTGTCTGTCTACCTACCTACCTGTCTATAAATACCTACCCAAGGAAAGAGACTTCCTCAAATCCCAAACATTTCAGTGCTTGAGTTTTGTTTTGTTTTGTTTTCCCCCAATTTGCTTTCAAATATCAATCGTGATCAAAAAGTAACCACAGATTAGAACTCAGTGTCAGATTTCCAAATCTGCAGGATCTGTTGATGCTAATGACACTAATATTAGGTACATTTCATAAATGTAAATAATTCTCTCCCTCTAAGGTTTTCAGAACTAAATGGTCTATGTAGGACAGACCTAAGAGTAGGAATGCCCCAGGCCACAGAGCAAGCAGCAAAGCTATTTTATTAACCTTAATTACAATTTGATTTTTACCTTGCCCAAAACCTGCTTTTTTAAAACTCTTCTTAAATGTATCCTTTCTCTATAAAGGTCCTTTAATCATGGTGGATAGGCTTTATAGTTAAGACCTCCTTAGATTTGCATTGAAACTCTGCTTCTTTCTGCTGGTAAACTGGGCAAGTTACTCAAACTCACTTAATGTCAAAGCATTTATTTGTAAAACCAGAATGATAAAAGTTCTCCCTCAGAGGATAGCTGAGAACAATAGTTGGCTTAATACATATGAAAACACCCAGCTCTGTAATTAGAAGAAACTAAATTCTCCAGGAATATTTTCCCCCCATTTTTTCTTCCCCATCATTCCTAATTCTCACTCTCTCCTTTTCCTTAGAATAAGTAGTCATGAGATTAGGCTCATCTTTCTGATTTGCTCATCCATTTTATAAGTCATTTTTATAAGAGCGTAAAATTATTTGCAATCTGGTAAGATAAAACAAGTTGAACTGTTGACTGCAAGATTGTCAGTAGTGAATGTTTGGTTTCCCTTATTGAAATCAAAAGTTACAAAATTTCATAACATACATAAAATCACCACCACAAAAATCCATCTTTCCCAACATAAAATTAAATTAAAAATAAAATGAGTGTCTGTTAGCATATCAAAAAATGATGTTTCCCTTTTGAACTAGTTCACCAAGTTCATGCAGAAGAATGAACTTGGAGAATTCTATCACCGACAGCCCAGACAACAGACTGTGGCCTGATATTACTTATCTTAGTGGTGGGAGTGTATGAGGTTGGTAGGAAAACAACAGCAACAAATAAAAATGCCAGGATGGTCTACAGAAAAAGTTTATTTAAAATTTTTTAAGGCAAATTTTAGAGAAAGTTTCAAAAGGGAACATTGCACGCCATTAATTTTTGCCCTGGCACACAAACTTTCATCCTTTAGAAGGAACCAGAATAAATTTGAAGCTTTTAATAAAATATTTCATGGGGTAACAAAAGCAACATTAAACATTAATAAATAAGTCTTTGCTGCAAATTCATTTTGAAGTGTAGTCATCCAAGTGCAATATGCATTGTGTAAATGTAACTTTTGGAAATATTAATACTAATAAAGTCTGAGTTCATGAAATGTTCTTGCCTGTCATCTTGAGACCAAGATGCATCGTCAAATTGCAAGCAAACATTGTGAAATCAAAACCCAGGGCTGTTGGCTCAGTGAGATGCTGAATGAGAAATTGTTAAGTAAAAAAGACCAAAGGGAGAAAAAATGTTGTTCTATAACTAAACAAATGGAATCAGTAAAAAGTCATTATTTCTCTAAGTACACATTTGACTACACAAAGGAGCCACTGTGTTCATCCAATGTGTCCCAGTGGTCATAGGCCTTGGTTATTCAAAAAGGACTTTTTCTTTTTTGTCATTACCCCTACCTTCTGTACTGTATACAACCTAAAGAAAGTTTTATGTATACAACCAACAATTCATTTTCCACATGTAATTTTATTTTTTTCTTTCAAAGGCCAAATCTTCCATTGGAATAAAAAAAAATCACCAACTCTTTAAGTTCTTTCATTTTCTATCTAAGCCTCCATATTATATAGAAAAACTGATATTGCCTCTTTAAGAAGTGTAATTTTACCTACATTGATCAATGTAACTCTGGTTCTTTACAAAAATGATGGAAATGTTCCCAGCTCAAATTATAATTTCAGGCATTAAATGATAGGTTCCCTTAGAAAATGTGAGCACGTTTTCTTTAGGGCAATGTTGACATTGGCTAGTCAATAAAATAATGTTTTCTTCTGTATTAACTCATTTAGTGGAAACAAGTTCAGGGTTGGCCAGCCTACATGACCACCTTAGTGAAATCCTGAAATGTGTTATTGTTTTCTCAGGTAAGTATTGAGAAGCAGGAAATTTTTCTTTTTCTGTTTTGTTATTGTTGATGTTGTTATTGCTGTTCTTCATGATGACATCAACTGACATATGCCTAGCATTCTGTGTACTATGCAGGGAAACTAATTCAGTGTACTATGGAGAGAACTAACTCAGAAAAGAATGAGAAAGAGGATACTGGGAAAGAGGAAAGGAGGAAAAGTCACTTTGTAATTTAGTATAATCTAAGTACCAAGACTGTATTTCTGTTCAAAACGAACAACAAAAAAGGTGAAAGGCATTGTCTGTCTACTGGAAAATTCTAAGTTTATTAAACACAAAAATTCCCTTCCTAAGAGATTTCTGAGATTCCCTATTTTGGCCAAAGTTATACATGATGATGATGATTAGCACACAAAGATAATAAATAATGAAGAAATCAGTGAATATGACTTAATAGAAATGTCCTTATATTTTAAGACCCACTATAGCACTTACTCTGCTGCTAGGCACTCCTCTAAGCATCCTACAAATTTTAATTCATATCATACTTGTAACAACCCCAGGAGATGCATTCTATTATTATCCAATCTTACAAGACAAGAAATTGGACCAAATAGAAGTTGTTTGTCCAAAGCTACATAGCTAACAATAATATAGTCAAACTTTAAATCAAGCATTCTGGCTTCTGAGACTATGCCTTAATACCCATTAACCATGCTGCCTCAATGTGCTATTTAGCAGAAGGTAAGCCTGCTTACATTGTCAGGTTGATGTACCTATATTCGGCTCTTTTAAGTTGTATTGGTAGTCACTCAATATTTCAGATAGTCTATTGGGGCTTCTAAAATAATAATGGTTTGCTATTCATTAATAATTACTAATAATAAGTCAATTATTATTTTAGAAGCGATAGTGATCCATTATTATTTTAGAAGGAATATTTGATTTTTTTTAGTAGTTTAGGATATTGGCATTAAATCTAAGAGAAAAGCCTGAAGTAAAGGCATGGCTCCAATTTTTTTTTGTATTTATGGTAATCCTACAGGTTGTTACCTTACAGACTTGCTCAAAAAAAAAAAAAAAAAAATCCATCAATGAGCCCAAAACCTGAGGTTGTGGATGACCTTTGATTTAAGGGACTTGAAAGGGTCTCCAGATCACCATCATTGAGGTAACACGTTGAGCTTTGGAGACAGACAAATTTGAGGTTTCATTCTCACCTTACCATGTACTATCTTTGTATCCTTAGGCACATTCTTAATCTCTCAGCAGCTAATGATTTTTAGTTGTAAAATGGAACTAATAATGTAGTTTCTTGGAGTTGCTTGGAGAATTTACATATGATGCCATAGTAAAAGCTCAAAGAGTGTTAGTTCCTTTCCTTTTTATTGACAATATCATGACTATAATTATATTTTCAAGTAAAATGGGTATTTCACAACACGTTATCTCTGTCTGCAAATTTCTGCAAATAACTTTAAGATATCAAAGATTTCGTGAAATTGAACATCTTTGAGAGAGAGAAAGAGGATAAAGTAGATTGTCATGATCCTACCTTCTACACCTCAAATCTCCACCACTAGATTTGACTTAAACAAAATACAGAGGACATTATCACTAGAAGGCTACATTTTAAATGTTTGGGTTTCAGCTAGGCATCATTACTCACACCTGTAGTTCCAGCATTTGGGGAGGATGAGACAGGAGGGTCACTTGAGGCAAGGAGTTCCAGACAAGCATAGACAACATAGCAAGACCCTGTCTCTATAAAAAATTAAAAAATAAAATAAAATGAGTGTCTGTTAGCATTTCAAACATTAATTAAATATTTCAGATTATTTAGGTCAGTAAATAGTACATTTCCCCCTGCAAAGACACTTGTTTCCCACATTGACCCTCATATCGAAAGATTCCATCTCTCAAGAAAATTGAGTTTATGTAGTAATACTTAATTTAACTCCCATTTTCATTGAAATCCTATATACAGATATAGTCAAGTTTCTTATCAGCATGAAACCACTAGTGTGCTCACACCTAATTGATAAAATTCCAACCCAAAGCAAAGAAACTTAACATATTCACTCATCTTTATTGTCTTATTGCAAGCTAATTGTTGTAGACTGTAAAACTATTCATCAATAATTAGTTCATATCCATGATGGAAGATTATATTTCCCAGTCCTGTTAAATTCAGGTGTGGCCATATGACTTGCTTTGGCCAAGATATGAACGGATTGGAATATGTTAATTCCAGGTGAAAGTTTTCAGAGTAGTCCAGAGCTGAGACCTGAAGGATTAATAAATATTAGCCAGGTAAAGAGAAGAGAAAAGCTATTCTAGACAGAGGAAATAGCATGTGTTAAACCTGGAAGAGATTGGCAAACCCAAGCCTTTAGGTTAGTGTAATTAGAGAGACTCCTGGACTGCAGTAGTAGGAAAGAGGTAAGATGGTACAAATTTGTTCGTCATATCAAGGACTTTATATTTTTTAGCAAGTGCAGTAGGAATCCATATAAGGGTTATGAGCATGGAAGTGACATGATCCGATTTAGTTTTGTAAGGAGAGCTCAGGGTTTTGTACACAGAACAAATTGGAGACAGAGATAGTGGAATCTGTTAACCACATAAAAGACTAACATGATTATCCAGGCTGGAACTGATAGTGGCTTGACCCAGAGCAATGGCTGTGGAGGCGCAACAAGAGGGTAGATTTTAAATATAACTAGGGGAAGACTTAATAAATGCCTAATAGACTTAATGATAGATAGAATGTAGAAATAGAATAATAGGGAGTCAGAAGGATGACTTTGGGGCTCTAAATTAAGTGACTAGGTGGAAGGAGACTCCATTTATGGTGACAAGGAAAACTTGCAGATGTGCACACTTGGAGAAGGAGAGCAAATATATTTAACCTGAGAACATAATATGGAGATCCCACTGAGCAGGTGATGCTTAGAGAAGTAATCTGGACAGGTAACAGATTATTAGATTATTAGAAAGATTATTATAATATGATTATTATGATGGAATTATTTAGAAAGAGAGTAGAAAAGGAGAAGAGAATATAAAAGCCCCTGCTATCCAGGTCTGAGTAACTCTAACATTCAACTGGAGAGAGGAAGAGGAATGTGATAGGAAGACTGAGAAAAACAGAGTTTTAATAAATCGACTCCCACTGGAAAGCACTTAATTGATTCTTCAGCTTGAAGATATAGGATGGGTATATTTTCCTAAAAGAGAGCAGCCATCAGTAGATTCTGAATCTGGGTCAGTCAGGAGCTACTGACTGACCTCAGGGGATGATAGAAGAGGGAAGGGGCACAGCTTCTTTGCTAAGCGTTGGTGAAACTTCAGCTTCTTCACAGTTTTATTTAAGGCCAAACCATTTCTTTATTTTCTACGGTGTTTCCTCAAAAAAAGACACTATTGTCACTCTGTATGTTTGCATTTAACACACTAGTATGTTTAAACTGTGTTTATAGTCTTCTAGAAGCTGTATAAACAATTTGGGTCCCGCCACAAACTAGGTACAATTTCTTCAACTATAGCCTAGTGGTACAAGAAGCCATTTCCATGTAAAAATCATTGTTTTTGCACCCCCTCATCATGCCACATAGATTCAGGTGCTTTCACCTTCCTCAAACTGCAGGGCCCATGTTACTTATAGCTGCAAATTGGCCCACTGGATATAAAAATTCCTAAAGGGGAGAAAAAACATGGGATTATCCCATTTTTAAAGGGATAACTATTTAGACATATTGTCCTTGGTCTAATCACTCACCTGTCCCTGACTTGATATTAGGTACTTTAAGGGACTCCTAATTTGAAGGAAAAGTTGCCACTATCCAAAAAATGATGCCGTTTCTCTCACCCCACCCGGCTAAGGTGAGAGCACCTGGTAACCAACTTCCTTCAGTACATTTATCCTCCAGAGAAATTTGCCTAATAAATTCCAAGAGCTTAACAAATACTAGTTTTCTCATTTTCTGCCTAATGCAAGCTTAGAACTCAGCTTCCGGTTGACCTGATTACTTTCCTGAATTCTAGGCCCTTTATCAATGCTAACAATAAAGGCCAGTCTCATATCTACTGTTTTATTTAATAGTCACAATAACCCTATAAAATTCATCTTCATAAAAATGCCACCCTGCCTCTTGTTCAGGCAGGAATTTTCTTGAAAGACAAATTTTAAGTTACCCTTGATTGAGGCTTTAGAAACAATAGTCATGCATGACATAATGACATTTCAGTCAACAAAGGACCATATAGAAGACGGTGGTCCCATGAGATTATAATGCTGTATTTTTACTGAACCTTTTCTATGTTTGGATATATTTAGATACACAAATAATTGCCTAGAGTATTCAGGATAGTAACATGCTGTACAAGTGTGTAGCCTAGGAGCAATAGGCTACACTGTATAGCCTATGTGTGTAGTAGTCTATACCATCTAGGTTTGTGTTAAGTTTACTCTCTAATGTTCACACAATGACAAAATTGCCTAGTGATGCATTTCTCAGAACATATCTCCGCCAAGCAACCCATGACTGTATTTCAGAGCTCATGGCAGCAACCTCACGTTCCAATAAGCTACGCAGAACCCTGGGTAGTTTTTGGGAACTGACTTACCCATCTTCTACAATCCGGTTAGACTTAGCTCTCTAATCCATCTAGACCAGCTATTTTCTTTGGTCATTTCTATTGTCTCAATCACTTACGTTAAAGAAAGTCTTTTAGAGATGTTAATCAGGAAGTGCTAACCAGGCTGCTGGAGTTGCTGTAGCGCCAGCCTCAGATCTTTTGAGACATAAAGTGTATAGATACATATGTGCGTTACTTACGTTCCTGTCAGTCAACTGGTTGTCTCATCATCTTCAGAACCATAAGACATAACCTAAAATGATGCTTGAACTTACTTCTTAAAATCTAAAACCACATTTCTCACATAGTCATCACACATATATTTCTAATAGGATAGTACAATACAGTGATAATTCACCTCTCTGTATAGTCTACTTGGGGGGGCAAGGATATTTAAATTTCAATGGCCTGAATTCCAGTCTTGGTTCTACTATTTTTTTTTTTTTAGTGATCTTAACTTTTTTGAGCTTCAGTTCATTTTTTCCTCTTCTGTCCTACTTACCTGCAAGGAGTATTATGGAGCTGAATTAAGATAATACATTTGAAAGCAATAAAGAGTATTTTTCATATCTGGTTGATAATAATTTAATGACTACATAGTTTCAACAAAATACTTCTATATATTAAGGCTGGTTTCAGTTCCTGTCTCAATCTCATTTTGCCCACAAAGAAGAGAATAATCAAGATTAGTGGTTCCCATAACTAACTGATTTCACCTGAGAAACTATATATATATATACATATATATATATATATATATATATATGTATATATATATATATTCTCAGACTCTACTTACCAAGGTTTTGACTCAATGGACCAAGATACAGACCCAGGAGCCTGTATTTTTTAAATGCTCCTCATGTAAATTGCTACAGCTTTTTGGAGGAAGATGGCAATGAGTGTTAACATTTAAAATATACTTACCCTTTAACCTGATAATTTTACTTCCTGCCAGCATACTTCAACAAGGGCAGAAAGATATACATGCAAATATGTTTATCATAGCTTTGTTTATACTAAAAAGACAACTTTTTATCAACAGGAGACTAAATAAATGATGGCACATTTATACAGTGGAAACTTAGGCAGTTGTTAAATAATGAAATGCTGGCATTAACAGATGTCCATGGCACACATTATTCTTAAATTTTTAACAAGCAAATTAAACAACAGTTTTATGATCTTTTTGATGAAATGTTAAAAGTGTTGGCCGAGCACAGTGGCTCACGCCTGTAATCCCAACAACTTGGGAGGCCGAGGCGGGCCTCCTGAGGTCAGGAGTTCGAGACCAGCCTGGCTAACATGGTGAAACCCCATCACTACTAAAAATACAAAAATTAGCTGGGCATGGTGGTGCACGCCTGTAATCCCAGCTACTTGGGAGGCTGAAGCAGTAGAATCACTTGAACCCAGGAGGCAGAGCTTGCAGTGAGCCAAGATAGTGCCATTGCACTCCAGCCTGGGTGACAAGAGTGAGACTCTGTCTCAAAAAAAAAAAAAAAAAAGTGTTTGTGGTGTGTTTGTTCATGTGTGGGTGTATAACAGACACACATTGAACCACTAACTATGGCCAAATCTAGGAAATAGGTTTGGGAAATAGAGCAAGGGAAATGTGAGATTTTACTTTTTAATCAATACAATTAAACTTTTTTTCTTACAGTTATGATTCACAATCATCTACATTTTTATTGTCAATGTCATCACTTAGCAGCTTCCTTAAATTGCCCCCAAATATACCCTGAACACTAATTTCTTCATTCATTTAGCCTATGAATAAATATGAGTAGTTATGCCCAATAAGTGCCAAGTGCTGTTCCAGGCACTAGCAACAAGCCAGACTACAAGCTTTGTCCTCATGGATTAAGCATCCTAACTTTTCTGAGCCTTAGTCCTTCCATCTGTGAGACTGATATATTACTCTCATAGAGTATTCTGAGGATGAAATTAAACGATGTGTGTAAAGTACCTAACATAGAATATAGCACCATAGATGTGCTCGGTTATTGTAAGCTACAATACAAGCATATGTGGTTTTACTGCACTTTGCTTTATTGTGTTTACAAATTGAAGGTTTATGTCAACCCTGCAAGTCTATCAGAGCCATTTTCCAAAAGCATGTGCTCACTGTGTCTCTGCATCACATTTTAATAATTCTCGCAATAGTTCAGACTTTTTCATTATTATTGTATTTGTTAGGCTGATATGTGATCAGTGATCTTGATGTTACTATCATAATTGTTTTGGGGCACAATAAACCGAACCCAGAGAAGATGGCAACCTCAGTCAATAAGTGTTATGTGGGTTCTGACTGCCCCACTCACGGACCATTCCCCTCATATCTCTCCTTCTCCTCTGGCCCTCCTGTTTGCTGAGACACAACATTGAAATTTGGCTAAATAATAACCCTACAATAGCTTCTAAGTGTTCAAATGAAAAAACAAAAAGAGTCTCTTTCATTTGAACACATGTCTCTCTCTTGAATCGAAAACTAGAAATAATTAATGAGGAAGGCATGTTGAAAGCTGAGATAGGCCAAAAGTTAGTTGTCTTGTGCCAGTTAGCCCAGTTGTGAATGCAAAGGAAAAGTTCTTGAAGGAAATTAAAAGTGCTACTCCAGTGAACATATGAATGATAAGAAAGTGAAACAGCCTTATTACTGAAAATGGAGAAAGTTTAATTGGTCTGGATAGAAGATCATACCAGCCATAATATTCCCTTAGGCCAAAGCCTAACCCAGAGCAAGATCCTAATGCTCTTCAACTCTGTGGAGGCTGAGAGAAAAGAGGAAGCTGCAGAAGAAAAGTGGAAGCTATCAGAGATTGGTTCATAAAGTTAAAGAAAAGAAGCCATCTCCATAACATAAAAGTGCAGGGTAAAGCCACGGGTGCTAACATGGAAGCTACAGCAAGTTCTCTAGAAATTCTAGCCAAGATAATAGATGAAGGTGGCTACACTAAACAACAGATTTTCAATGTAGACGAAACAGCTGTCTTAGTCTGTTTTGCTTTGCTATAAAGAAATACCTGAGACTGAGTAATTTATAAAGAATAAAGGTTTTTTGGTTCATGATTCTTCTCGCTGGAAGATTGGGCATCTGGTGGAAGCCTCAGGGTGCTTCCTCTCATGGTGGAAGGTGAAGAGGAGCTGCTGTGTGCAGAAATTCCATGGTGAGAGAGGAAGCAAGAGAGAGAGGGAATGTGCCAGACTCTTTTTAATAACCAGCTTTTGTGGAATCAATAAAGTAATAACTCACTCATCCCCAAGGAAGGGCATTAATTTATTCATGAGGAATCTGTCAAGATAACACAAATATTTCCCATTAGGCCCCACCTAATGGGAATCAAGTTTCAGCATGAGATTTGGAAGGGACAAACATCCAAACTATAGCAATTGCCCTCTATTGGAGGAAGATGCTGTCTATCACTTTCATAGCTAGAGAGTAGAAGTCAATGCTTGACTTCAGAGCTTCAAAGGACAGCCTATCTTGTTAAGGCTGAATACATTTGGTGACTTTCAATGCTCATTTACCATTCCAAAAGTCCTTAATAATTATGCCAAATCTTCTACTCTGCTTATACTCTATAAATGGAACGATAAAGCCTGGGTGACAGCACATCTGTTTATAGCTTGGTTTATAACACATTTTAAGCCCAATGTGGAGACACTGCTCAGAAAACAAGATTCCTTTCAAAATATTACTGCTCATTGGCAATGCACCTGGTCACCCACGAACTCTAATAGTAATGAACAAGGAGATAATGTTGTTTTCGTGCCTGCTAACACATTTATTCTGTGGCCCATGAATCAAGGAGTAGTTTTGACTTCCAAGTCTTATTATTTAAGAAATACATTTTGGCTGTAGCTACCATAGACAGACAATCTGGGCAAACTAAATTGAAAAACCTTCTGGAAAGGAGTCACCATTCTATACACCATAATCTTCAGGATTCATGGAAAGAGGACAAAATATCAACATCAACAAGAGTTGGGAGGAAGTTGATTCCAATCCTCATGGATAACTTTGAGGGAGTTTAAGACTTTATTGGAGGAAGTAACTGCAGATGTGGTGGAAATAGAAAGAGAAATAGAATGGAAGCGGAGCCTGAAGATGTGACTGAATTGCTGAAATCTCATGATAAAACTTGAACGGATGAGCAAAGAAAGTGGTTTCTTGAGATAGAAGCTACTCCTGGTGAAGATGCTGTGAACACTGTTGAAATAACAAAGGATTTTGAATATTTCATAAATTTA
This sequence comes from Homo sapiens, assembly GCF_000001405.40. Lineage (NCBI taxonomy): Eukaryota > Metazoa > Chordata > Mammalia > Primates > Hominidae > Homo > Homo sapiens. Next base: position 93,744,689 of record NC_000004.12, read on the forward strand.
GTTGATAAGACAGAGGCAGGGTTTGAGAGGGCTGACTCCATTTCAAAAGACATTCTACTGTGGATAAAATGCTATCAAACAGCTTTGCATGCTATAGAGAAATCTTTTGTGAAAGGAATAAGAATTGATACAGCAACCCTCATTGTTATCTTACTTCAAGAATGGCTACAGCCACTCCAACTTTCAGCAACCACCCTGCTGATCAGTTACCAGCTGTCAATGCTTGGGCAAGACTCTCCACTAGCAAAACAACTGTGACTCACAGAAAGCTCAGATTATTATTAGCATTTTTAGCAAAAATATTTTTAATTAAGGTATGTACTTTTTTAGGAATAATGCTATTATATTTTTAATAGACTGTGGTATAGTGTAAACATAAATTTTGTATGTACTGGGAAAACAAAAACATGACTTGCTTTATTACAGTGGTCCTGAACTGAACCTGCAATATCTCTGATGTATGGCTGTAATTGTTATTGCTGTCATCATCACCATTTTTTTCATGACCAACTGCTCGATCCAGTGTAGGTTTTCTGGGGAAAAAATAAATTTCATCTCAAGAACGTTAATTGCTGACCTTGTAAACAATGTGAACTACATTTCCTTTACTGAATCACAGCAGACTTAGAAAAAAAGAGAGAATAGAAATCAATTCAATGAGAGAAAAATGTTGCCTTCTATTTATTTAATACATCCCTTAGCTACAGAATTCTTATTTCCTCGGTTTAACAAAGTAGATTACACAGCAGAGGCTGATGCACATTTATAAAAATATATGACATTTTGTTTATGTCAGTGGGGATGAGGAATCTTTTTTTTTTGGAGATAAGAGTACCAAAGGGCAGTGAGTGGCCCCTTAATCCTAATAGCAGATACTTCCATGAGTGAAAACCACAGTTAATGAAGCTCTGAAAGTGAACCTCTTTTTACATTTGTACTTGATTTTGAAACATGCAAAACATAGTTGAAGCCAGTGTGAGCTTCTCTTTCGTAAGGACTCAGAAGCTAAATATGGAGCCAAGTTTAACTATCCAATTAAATGTACTGTTTACAAATGAAAACAATTATATTTTCAATTAACAGGAAGATGAAAAATGCAATTACTTTAGCTATGGCATATTTTATTTTATTTCTTTTTTGTTTGTTTGTTTGTTTTATTTTGACTTTGTGCTGCAGGCAGAGTTAATTAACTCTTTCAGCAAAGGAAAAGAAAAACATTAAACAATGATTATGTGTGAATTTCCTGGAGTGATCCCAGTTAGGTAGCAGGGGCTTGATTGTCTGATTCTGTGAGCTCTAAAAGAAACCCCAAGGTAAATAGAAGTACTGCAGATAGTGTAACCATGAGCAACAGGTATTTTTGTGTCAAAGGACCAAAAATTGTCCTTGTAAGTGTATAGGTCTTTGGTATATTCTAAAAGTTAATTTTTAAGTTGAGAAAGATAAAAGGACAAGTGGTATCCTGAAGTTCATGTGTCATAAAAATTATTTTGTGGTAGAAAGGCTAAGTCACTAAATATTCATTAAGAAATAAGTGTTGTGTAACCATTTATCTAATCATTGTACTAGGAAATAGCTACAAAAGTAAATACCATAATACAATACAATACATACAATAAAACTGCTCTTAATGAGTAGTTCTACTGTAATCAGAGTCACATGAAGCCATGACATAAGAATGCTTTATTTCATATATCTTATTTCATGGTACCCTAGCTGGGTTACTCTAGTAACTTGGTTAAGCACTAGTTTCAAAGCAGGATGGTCAATTCTTCCAACACATACAGGCCAATATAGATTGTTTTTTCCTACAAATTCTTGAACTTCAGATTTTACATTTGGATTACAGTCTTTCTCAAGAACAATCATTTTGCAACATGTTTTCATTCCTGGATTTGATCTTAGTAGGACTACCAAAATGCAAGAAAGTACAAAATGTTAAAAAAGAAAACCTCAAAGCATTTTGGTAGTCGTATTTTTATGTTTGATATGAACATTATTTAAACCAATGAAATACAATATATTGCAATACAATATTTCAAAGTAGCATATTCTTTTAAGAGATTTCCTGTTACATAGTCAGGCTATTTAATTTGCTCAGTATAATGATTAAAATAAACTTTTCTGGTGATAATGTCTATTGTGAGTATTCTAATTGGTCCACTCTGATTGTCTTGAAAATTCCCTAAGAAATTAACTCTTTTTTATAGATATAAGTGTTTTGGCAAATGTCACAGATTTTTTACAGAAGGATTAGAGAATTTTTTTCACTCTTGTCTTTTTGGTATGTATGTGTTTTATATAAGACAAGGGTGTATTCCAAAGCTACATCTAGCAAAATTTATGTTTTAGTGTTTCAAAAAAAAATCTGTGCCATGACAGTCATTAGATCTGATCATGACACTTTTGAAATATTTAGCCAAAGTCCTCTTATTCCACCGAAACACAGTTGGAAGCAATTATTTAAAACCACACATAATTTATCTGGAGGTTTTAAAACATGCCTTTGTATATAAATAGCTTTTTTCTTCCATACTGCTTTGCTTAGTTCAACTGTGAAGGCAATTAATTTTTAAAGAGTTGAAAGACCGTTCCAAAATACATTTATCTCTGCTGATCCCTAAAATTTTTCTGAGTGAACCAAATACCTAATAGACTCTACAGATAACTCTCTTGTGTAGCTCTTATCTCAGCCATAATGTTACATTCGTGTGATTATCTAACAAATGCCAGTGTTCCCTCTGCACTGTATGCTTGTGGAGAGAAAGACCATCTCCCATTGCTTGTTATTGCTCTCTAGCACCATTTCAGTGCCTGTAGTTGCATGTAAAAATTGTTCAATACTTATTTGTTAAATGAACTTTATGTAATGGGGGACACTTTGTGAAAAGTCAGTAATCACTCCTTGACTTAGTTTCACTCTTTTCATAAAGTCTAATCATATATACACAAAAACTGTTGTACATATCTATTGTTCAAGTAGGGAATAATATGTAAAATGTTTTTAGTCATTCAGTAAAATCACATACTAAAAATCAATGTCAATTTGGTTTTTTTTTTCTGTCATTGTTGATTTGACAGAAAAATCAATGTTGATTTGTTTTCCCCCCCAGTGGACAGAAATTTTTCAAGTCAAAAATTTATTAAATACTACCTGTTATTTGAAATCATTTCTTTTAAAGACATTCAAAAAATTATGACATCTTATTCGTTCTCACATCGTCACCATGAGATAAGTACTATTTTTCAACTTGCAGAGGAAATGTCTTCTACTCAAAAAAAGAAGACTATTTGGTTATATTGGTTTCTAGATTAATAAATGCCCTTGGATATATAACATCTAACAACTTAAGGAAATTCGATAAACATTTAGAAAATTAATAAGTATAAAAAGTGTTATGACCCAAAGCATAGTTTATATACTATCAAGTAAAAATGAGCTATAAAATTAACCATAATTTCACAGAAAAGAGTATTTGTTTGGAAGTCTAACAAAGTTGAGACATTATACAGAGAGACACTGTATGGGTCGATATCTCAAGTAAGCCATCATCTAAGAACCTTGCAAATGATCCATCTGAATTATATATATGATCCATCTGAATTATATATACATTATAATAAATTATAAATATGGCCAACAGTTAATTTCTTTGGTTTTTCTAAGGGTAAGTTACCCCAGTAGACAGTAATATCAATAGAATGTTTTTCATTCAGAAAGATTCATAAGACTCCACAAACTGAAATAATAGAATTTTGGAACAAGAACCTCTCTGCATCACTCAGACGACTCCTTGGAGAGTTTTAGGAAGGCCAGTTGTAATTAGTTGAAACTTGTCTTTGAACAGGCGTCTAGAGCTATTTCTTCTAGTAAGAAAAACGCCTGAAGGCACTAAGTGATTACAGGAATCGAAACCAAGATTTTACTTAAAGGCATGTGTGTAACATATCATGCGTACTCTCCTCAAAATGCCCTATGGATCTTTTTTCTTTTCTTTAATTTAGGCTCCCCAAAAAAATAATGTGTGCCAAATGATCCATTCTACTTCTTGCCAGGTCTGGCATGATATGAAGCCTGACAGGGACAATAAGGGGACAAAGCAAGGAGGAGTACTGAATTACTTTTCTTGCTTTTTTTTTTTATGTTAAGGAACAAGCCCAAAGAAAAACATAGATCATTGTGACAAATGCATTGTATCTTTATAATTCATTGTAGTTGGCAAGAACTCCTACCAAGTAATAAATGTTAAGCAAACCAGAGCCACCATTGCATAGGTAGGGGTATTCTTCCACTACAGTCACATCATTTGGCCTCAGCTCAAACTACTGACTTTGTCTTGATGATTTTCTTCATTGCATTAGTAAGTTAGCAAAAGTGGGTGGGGGTGGGGATCCCTGCTTTATTCCTCCTTCACTGTGTGTGAGCAAATGCATGCATGGGTGGCTGAGGTGCGGGAAAGAAGAAGAGAGAATATGCAGAGGTTAGGGGATTTTTAAAAACATGTAAGTTTTGTTTTATTTTGTTAGTTTAAATTTGCCCTTAGGTATTGTTCAAAATGTCCTCATTTCCTTTATGACACAAGGGCTTTTAGAGGAATGACTGAATTAAAAGACAGTTTATAAAAGTTGCAAGATATAGGGAAATGATTGTTTACAAAATAAGGCATTGATGAGGAAGGAGACAGAAGTGTTGCTGGGATGACTCTTCAAGGGGAAAGTGAAAGTTCAGTGACTGACAGGAAAACAATCATAGCTTCTGTGCTTCATAGAGCTGGCCTGCCACTCATTGCCCCTTTTTCACTCTTTGATTCAAACATATACAGGAGGGAGAAAGTGGCATTGAGCCTCCTCCAGCTGACAAAGGACCAGAGAGGCAAACCGAGGCTGTTAGTCTACCACCATGCTATTCATACCATGCCCTCTCCTGAAATGCTCATACACCCACTCTCTACATGTTATAAACATAAAGCCTTAGTCAAATAGCCACCTCCGCTATGACACTTTCTTTGACCACTTTTGCCAAAGTGGCGTCATCCCCCTCTACAGAGCTAAGTAATGATTCTTTAAGAAACCCTCACAATGCTTTTTGCTCTCCATCTCTTAGCCAAAAACAAAACAAAACAAAAAAGTCTTTGGTTGTTTAAGCTAACACAAATTACTTCACTCCCTTATGCCTGAGTTTCTAAATATAGAAAAATGGAGATAAAGTCAGTAACTACCTCACAGGGTGATTTCGAGAATTATATAACTGAATTGCTACAGAGTGAACAATGCAGGTGAAGAGATAGGTGCTCAATAAATGTGAGACATGTTAACTATCATGACTACTACTGCCATTGGTGAGCACACATTATATAGTTCCCTTTCTTGAGCTTTGCTTTTTATTCAGCAAATTGATCGAACGCATCCTCTGTGCAAACAACTGTAGTTGGTGCTACAGAACACACAAAATCTATAAGACACCATTACCTGGCCTAAGGAGCTTGTAATCCTTTCAAAGAGATAAAACACATTACTTTAGTGTTGGAACAAAGCACAAAATTATAAGAAAACTTCCAAGGAAAGTTCAAAAGATGGATCAATTAGTGGTTTCTCCAAACCTGCTTTAGTATCAGAATCCCCTTGGGAAAGTGCTGTTTAAAAATATAGATTCCCAGACACCAACCCAAAAATAGTAAATAAGAATCTCTGACTTGTAGCCAAGGAAATTCAAGTGATTCCAATGATCACCCAGTAGGAAATCCCTAGAATAGTCACGTACAATTGGAAATAAAAGGCTTTCTGTTAAAAGGTGGTCTTGGCCAGGCGCGGTGGCTCACGTCTGTAATCCCAGCACTTTGGGAGGCCAAGGTGAGTGGATCACAAGGTCAGGAGATCAAGACCATGTGAAACCCGGTCTCTACTAAAAATACAAAAAATTAGCAGGGCATGGTGGCAGGCCCCTGTAGTCTCAGCTACTCGGGAGGCTGAGGCAGGAGAATGGCGTGAACCCGGGAGGCAGAGCTTGCAGTGAGCTGGGATCGCGCCACTACACTCCAGACTGGGTGACAGCACAAGACTCCGTCTCAAAAAAAACAAAAAGGTGGTCTTGACCAGGCATCGAGACACATTTTATAAGAGTTAGGATAGAAGGAAGAAAGAGTGGTGTCACTTAAAAGAGATGAGTTAGTTCCTAGCCAGTGATCTTCTCAATAAGGATGAAATATTATCTTCTGCTAAGAATCAAACAGGTGAAAATACAGTTCAAGGTTTGGGAAATGTGGAGAAAGTTGGAAGAGTTGTAACATGTTTTACAGGGATAACTAGAGGTGAATTAAACTGAGGGTCCATTATGCTACAATATCTCTCACTGCAATTTCCAAGGCCAGTTTATACCTAGGCTAGGGTCATTCTTCTTAAATTCCCAGAAGCTTATATAAATGAAAATGCACTGACATTATCAATAAAAGTGAATTTTTAATATCACTGACAATAGGATCATTAACTATTGTGAATTCTTCATGTCTGTTAACAACCTTGTTTCTTTTGCCAAGTATAAAATTTCAAATTTGATCTCATGAAAAGTCTAGGAGTCAGATTCTCATAAATAACAACAGATCTATCCATTTGCTCTTTGTTGATCTGTAGCTGGCATCTGAATATATGAATTCCCCTAGGGTGAGAATGAGACTCTATAATTAAAGTTAATTGGTGTTGCTTTTCACCTGTTTTTCTTCTTGGTGAGTGAACTCTTTTATTCCTCTCATTTTTCCACATCAAATTCTCAGTATTGCAATGGGTCTCCCACAGTTCCAGGCAGTTTCTGGTTCTTGGGGGGAAATGCTCCTGTGGCATTATTGATTGCAGCCTTCATGAGAAGGACAATGATTTACTGTGTTGCTTCCTGTGCAGCTGTGAATTTGCTGTACAGTGACAGGGCCTTCCGTGGCATCCTCTGTCTCAACTTGACAGGAGATCTGGAGAGTGAGCTAGCTGTATTGAAATGAAAGTGTCCTCACCCCAAATCACATTCTGTCCCTCAAACTAAACCCAGGTCAGTGAGAGGTTAGCGAAAACACGGTTAAGAATGTGCTAAAGGGTGATACTGAAATTGAGGCTGTCCCCACTGTCTTCTCAAGGCCTGTAACCCGGCTTGCCCTCCTAAAAGCTTCATGCTGTCATTCCTTGCCGCCTCCTTATTTTCCTAGGCTTTCCACAACTGCCTGCTTTCTTACCCATACTCCCAATACTGCATGCTATGATTTTGGGGAGGACACATTCAGGCCATTGCACACCTGAACATTCTTTTTTTTTTTTTGGCTAGAGTATCAGAATGGGCACTTGACCTTAGGCAGCACTGTGTTTGGACTTATACATTGTTCATGTCAATGTTTGGTTCTAAAAGGAAAAACTGAAAACCTATTGCAAATGGACTCCACTGTATTACTGTGGCTGTACCACATTAGTCTTTATAATGATTATAACAATAGCTGCCTGGTATGGAGAACTTAATATATACCACATAATGTGGTGAACACTTTGCATATACAATACAATTTAAGATAAATATTCCATTCCAGGGATTAGGAAAACTGAAGCTCAGAGGGATCATGTTATCTTGCCAGTACATAGTCAGGAAGTAATGATAACAGAATTTCACCCACGTTTTCCTAACTAATACTCATACTGTTCTTTTATTTATTTATTTATTTATTTATTTTGAGACACAGTCTTGCTCTGTCATCCAGGCTGGAGTGCCCTGGTGCAATCTTGGCTCACTGCAAGCTCCGCCTCCCGGGTTCACACCCTTCTCCTGCCTCAGCCTCCTGAGTAGCTGGGACTACAGGCACCTGCCACCACGCCCGGCTAATATTTTGTACGTTTAGTAGAGACAGGGTTTCACTGTGTTAGCCAGGATGGTCGCGATCTCCTGACCTCATCATCTGCCCACCTCGGCCTCCCAAAGTGCTGGGATTACAGGCATGAGCCACCGCGCCTGGCCAATACTCATACTCTTAACTATTACATTCTCCTTTTCCAAAAATCTCAGTCCTTTAATTATTTTCCCTGCTTAAAATTTCCTAAACCTTATCCACACCTCATTATCATTCTTTGACTTCTCTTTGGTCATAAATTATTTATTATGTGTATCCTTCCATCTATCTGTGTACTTGCACATTGTTTTGCAGGTAAAATCCATATTGTCCATTTATTTTGTGCTCACTCAACACCTGGTATATCAGTGTTATGCTTTTGGAGTCTTTGGAACCGTTAGTTTTCTATATGGATCATACCCTGACTTATCATAAGTGGAAGTGATAAGAATGGCCTGGGGGTAGGACAAGAAGGGAGAGAAAATAAATAGTTATCACTGATTCTCAGAGGGATGCCGAGACTAAACTGACCCTACCATCAGATTGTTAGATATGATCTTCTTGAATGCTGTTTGCTACACCTCCTATCTACATGCCTACAGGCAGCCTTCACCCAGAGCTAAAAGAAAGTGGAATCCAAATGTTTAAAAAATATTTATTTAGAAGCTTAAGAACTCTACCCAAAGTTCTCAGGCTAGGATTAGTAACATTAGGTTGTAATGTCCACTCTTCTCTTTCTTCCATACTCTGAGATGTTCTCCCCAGTACCAGCTTATCTTGTTATGCATCTTAGAAAAATTCTTTTTATTATTATTATTATACTTTAAGTTCTAGGGCACATGTGCCCAACGTGCAGGTTTGTTACTTATTTATACATGTGCCATGTTGGTGTGCTGCACCCATTAACTCGTCATTTGTATTAGGTATATCTTCTAGTGCTATCCCTCCCTCCTCCCCCTACCCCATGACAGGCCCCAGTGTGTGATGTTCCCCACCCTGTGTCCAAGTGTTTTCATTGTTCAGTTCCCACCTATGAGTGAGAACATGCGGTGTTTGGTTTTCTGTCCTTGCGATAGTTTGCTCAGAATGACGGTTTCCAGCTTCATCCATGTCCCTACAAAGGACATGAACTTATCCTTTTTATGGCTGCATAGTATTCCATGGTGTACATGTGCCACATTTTCTTAATCCAGTCTATCATTGATGGACATTTGGGTTGGTTCCAAGTCTTTGCTATCGTGAATAGTGCCAATATATGAAAGTCCCTGGGGAATCTTGAGAGCCCTTTGGGCCAGCATCAAGACTCACTGAGCTGTAATTTAGTGCTTAATGCCATAAGGAATTTGGAATCAATTTTTATACAGTCATGGATCACTTAGTGATGGGGATACATTCTGAGAAATGCATTGTTAGGTGATTTCATTGTTTTATGAACATCGCAGAGTGTACTTACACAAATCTAGACGGTATAGCCTATGAAACCCAGGTTATATGGTATAGGTGTATTTCTTCTAGTCTACAAACCTGCACTGAAGACTGTGGGTAATAGTAGCACAATGGTAAGTATTTATGTATGTAAACATATTTAAACATAAAAAGATAAAGTAAAAAGATGGTGTTATAATCTTATGGGACCACTCTTATATATATGGTCTGTCAGTGACCAAAATGTCATTATGAGGTACATGACTGTAATTTTCTGTAATGTGTGTTGCAGCTCAGGCACTACTGGGAATATTGGGTCACAGTACAAGTCCTCTTTTTTCATCACAACTACAGAAAAATTACTTCAAAATGCATCAACTATTATCTCATAGAGTGTAGCCTCTCATAGAAAGACCATAAGAGTAATAATATCTACAAAGTGGATCTGTTCTCACGTTACTCTTCTTTCTATGACAGTATGTCCATTTGTTATATATGGAATGCCATTATTTGCAGTGATCTATATAGCTTGAGTTTTAAATCAGTATACTTTTATCAAACGGTATACCTTTTTGTTCTCATCTAGAAACAAATAGACAGAGTGTAGTATCCAGTATTGCTTACCACCATATACAAGGTAAAGATTCACCACAATTTACCAATACTCTGAGCAATTTAGTTGCTGACAAATATAACTGGCTATTCAAACATGGGTAAATTGCACTTCTACAATTATTCATTAGGGCTCCTATAATAAGTATTTCAGATGCCTACTTAGCTGGGTTGCTTTCATTTCTAATTCATAAAGGTTTAAAACAGATTTGAGAAGCTGATTATGCAAGGGTTGGGGTAAAGTGGAGAAATAGAGGGCTTTGCAACTGCCTGCATTTTGTACATACACATTTACAGTATTACCAGACCTATTTCTGAATAAAGAGACCAGCCTCTTGGTCCCTCTGACAATTGTTATCAGGACTGAATGGCATTCAGTTTTTATCAAGCCTCTTCTCTGAGTTATTGAAGCATCCCATAATATCATCAAGTAAGTAAACGTTGTGCATGTAGCTCTTGCCATTATCATGGAAAATAGCAAGTAGTTCTCATGAACTTGCACAGGAATGGTGCAAGTAACATCCCTTTCATAACAGCAACGTATCCACACCATTTCATTTGTCTAGCCACATAGACACATAGAAAGGTAGGCTATTCCTTTTATATCTATTGGTAAATTTTCTTTCGAATAACTGCTGAGAACTTCACTCCTATAAGCAGTTGGTGCTGCTGGTTGAAGAAAATAGATACATTATCTAAAGTAATAGATAAGTCTCATTAAGAAGATGGAATAGACTAATTCCCAGCATATCTCCCATGCGTGGGAAAACTAAATTGTGAAGTAGAGCAGTAACACATCAATTATCCTTTCTGCACGGAATTAGACGAGCCTCACTGCTACTTTGTATCACATTATGTAATTTTTTATAAATAACTATTTATGTCAGATCACCTCAGTTTGCTGCCTTATTAAAAAAAGATAGCTAACACTTCTAGCTTACTAATCAGATTTATTCCTGAAACTACTTAGGAATCCAGGTAGTCTATTTAAAATTTACATGTGTACTTAAGGAATCCTTATTCCTACTAAGGAAATAGTGTTAACATATGCCCAAAGAGGTGATGTTTTATATTAACCTAAAAATAAAATGCTATACATTTAATGATGTTACAATTTTAACGAAGATCGGCTTCTACCAACTAAAGTGAAGCTAGCTATCACCATTTAGAACAAAGTTTTTGAAGATCTTGTGTTAAATAATGACATAATCAGTTTAAGTAGTTGATCAGGTTTGCCACATCAAGTTATCATATGTGAAGTGCTAGAAAACAATTCAGTTTCTTCAGTAGTTTAAATCTCTCTTGCTTTTTGTCTACATAGTTAATCTTTATTAACTTATTATGTTCACAACACAGGAGTTAAGTTAATGAAAGCTTGTATATGAAGAATTTGCTTGCTAAAGTAAATAATAAAATTTGGTACTTACCTGTTTTAATTTATTGACTGTGTGGTAAAAAGTGAAACACCATAATGACAATAGAAATGCTTTGCAAATTATGAAGTGATATTTTTAAAAAGAAGGATATAACATTTATATGTATCCTAGTTTTTAAAAACATCTTACTTATTAACGAGGAGAAGAAGAAGCATACATTCTAAAGCTTCTGGGTCTAAGATTAGTTTCACTCCAGATATGATTCAGAGGGAGAAGGAGGAAAGTCAGAAGGAACATTCCAAAATTGGAAAAGTGCTAAAAGGGAAAGTGGCCCCTAAGTGACACCCATCACTCTGCAATCATGACATTGCTGCTGTGCTGCGTATTTCACAATCTATGTTTCTTAGTCTGCCCAGGCTTTCCAAACAAAATGCCACAGACTGGGTGGCTTAAACAATGGAAATTTATTTCTCACAGTTCTTGAGGCTAGAGGACCAAGATCAAGCAAGGTTTCAGCAAGGTAGATTTCATTCTGAAGCCTCTTCTCTTGGCTTGTAGGGAAGCTGCCATCTTGCTGTGTGCTCACAGGACGTCTTCTTCATGTAAAGAGAGAGCAAACATGATGGTGTCTCTTCTGATAAGAGCACTGGTCCCTTCAAATCAGGTCCCCATTCTCCTGACTTCATCTAACCCTAATTACCCCCCAAAGGCCCCATCTCAAAATATCATTACAATGGGGCTTAGCGCTTCATCATATAAACTTTGGAGGGGCATAAACATTCAGTCCATAATAACATGAGATTGAGTGCTTTTGTTTTTTACGTCCATGACAAATCAAGTTAACAAATATTTATTGAGTGAATACAGAAGGAAAGTCACAATGCTTGTGGTGTAATGAATAGGATGAAATACATATTTTAAGATTCCTGTCCTCAAGGAGTTGATAGCCTGATTGAGAATATAAGAAGTGCATCAGAAGAAAAACATGCATCAAATATAAATAATAATTCAGAGTGAAAACAGAGACGTCTCAAGGCAGTGTATGGTTCAATACTAAATGGGCAGTTCTCAGGAACATTTTTGCAGAGGAGATGGAATCTGAGTCCTGAGAGATGTTCTTCACAGAAGCATGAGAAAAGAATGCCCTCTTGTCATTCACTTATTCACTCATATTTACTAAAGGATATTATGTGTCAGAGGTTAGAAATACAAAATTAATAGTGCATAGTTTAGTATCTGCCCTCAAGGAGGCTAACATCCAAAAAAAAGAAAGAAAAACACCACTAAATTCAAGATCAAGTCTCAACTCCTTAAATAACTTACAGGCCTTGCTTCTCCAGCGTGGTTCTGGTTCTCCCCATATTCATGCTCAGTCTCAGGGAACTCCGTTCGTCTTTTCAGAATGCCTGTACTTTCTTCCTGCTGGACTTTTGCACAAACTGCTTCCTCTACCTAGAGTACTCTTTTCCCAATCTCCATGCCATCACCTGTTCTACTAATTCCTAATTTCTCATCTAAGACAACACTTACTCCAAAATGTTGTTCCTAAACTGACCATCCTTCTAAAACCAAGGTCTGGTGACCTTTGCACGGTGCCTTCTCTTGTGCTGCCCCATTCCGGGCATGTGACCACCCTGCAGTGGAACTATCCAGTACTGGAATTGGAGGTTAACATCCAAGGAACAGTTTTGGGATTTTTTCCTCCATTTATAAAACCTTAGCCAGTTGCAGTGGCTCACGCCTATAATCCCAGCACTTTGGGAGGCAGAGGCGGGTGAATCATCTGAGGTCAGGAGTTCAAGACAATCCTGGCCAATGTGGTGAAACCCCATCTCTACTAAAAAAGGCAAAAGTTATCTGGGCATAGTAGTGGGTGCCTGTAATCCCAGCTACTTGGAAGGCTGAGGCAGGAGAATTGCTTGAATCCGGGAGACAGAGGTTGCAGTGAGCCGAGATCGCACCATTGTACTCTAGCCTGGGAAACAGGGCGAGACTCCGTCTCAAAAAAAAGAAAAAGAAAGAAAAAGAAAAAGGAACCTCATAGCGTATTTGGATTCATGATGGAAAGAAGTTTGCAGGTAGAATTCACTTTTTAAAATGTCTAAAATGAAGAGAAACTGTTCTCCTGTGATTCTAGGCCACCTCAAGAGAAGGTTATGTTACTGTCTAAACACTCTACTAAAAAAAGAAAATTGAAGCACTTCATTTCAGAGCTGTAATAATGCTAAATACAATACATCTAAAAATTAAAATATAATTTAAAAAAATAGTTTAGACTTCCCATCTATGAAAATGTGGGTAAAACAGTAATGTTATTTTCCCACAGTTGTACTATTGTTGATGATCTAACTCACTCCTGGCTGAGAGTTTTTATTATGTGCACTGAATTTATCCACAAACTGTAATACAAATATGCTCTGAGTTTTTTAAAATATGTATCAGTGTACAACCTCTAACTTAGATGTTGTTTGCATCATAAAATAATTCTCCCGCTATTAAAGCCTACTAGAGTAGTTCTCAGAATAATGAATTCCTTCCTTATATTTAAATTATTATTCAACTTTTTAGAAGTTTAGAATTTGTGCAAATGCTAAGGAAAATGTTTGTCTCTTCAAAAAGTATCCTTCTTAATCTTCTCTTTCCTAAGAGTATGTCAAAGCTGCATATCACAATCTTTATCCATTTTACAAATAGCATACAACTCAGGATCTCACTTATTTTAAAGGTTAATTGTCAGACTCAAGGATATGAAAATATACATAAATGCATAACATATATACTATACACAAAGCAAAATAAGTTTGACTTTATGACACCTTTTCATAAACATGCATTTGAAAGTTTTGCATAAGAAAAATGAAGAGTGACTCTAAACAGAGATGATCGTTGCCAGTTTCTCACTGCAGAATGAAATATTTTTTCTCCTTTACCCTATAACCCAAATATCACACTGAGCTTAAGGATGAAGCTGACATTTTAAAAGATCACCAAAAGCGTTCTCTTTCCAATTGCAATTATGCCCTCTATCTCAGTGGGAGCCATTGTCTGGGTCTTCTCAGCTCTCTAGCATCTTTCTGGCTTGCTTTCATTACCCTGATTATCTATTCATTTGCCGCCCAGTACTCATTTTATGAAAGATCATGTCTGCCATTTCTGTAATGAGTGCTTGACTTTTACTGCCAGCATAAACACATAAAATATATAATAATTAAAGTTCACTAGTCACCAAAGTCTTGAGATCCGTCATGTTGCTAATTTGATTTTTTAAGCAATTGCTTCTCCGCGAACAGGGCTGATTTTGCCCCCTTAGGCAGTGCAAGACTTATGGTTGAAGGAGATGACTCTAACCTAGAGAGATCAATTTGAATGGGCACCATATATTTCAAATTTAAGGTTCATTTTCTACCAAATAACATGTCTATAAATTATGATGGGTCTTAGAGCCAACAAAAATTTCATCAAAATTTGAACATAAATGTTGTTCTAAATGTTAAAGATTAAACAATGTGCTTTTCAAAACAGTTAAATGTTATTTAATTGTGTAGCTTTTATGGAGAATTGTTTAAACTCTAAGAAAAAAGTTAATTGGAATAACTACAGGAGCCTACACAACACAGATTGGAAACTTCACAATGTGTTGACTTACATTAAGTAAGGACAAGGTTCCAGAACACCACTTCCTTATTTTGAACACACTTCCTTGTTCTGATAACATTGGCAAAGCACCCTAAGTGCCCCATGATAATGAATTCATCTGACCTTTAATCACAAAGCGATTAATGAACTCATGAGATACTCATGTGGCTCTCTGGGGACATAAAGATGTGTCATACAAAGTGTAATGTTTGTAAATGGATACAGTGGAACACGTGTTAGCCAAGGGACTTGAGTAGCAGACTCTCAGTTTATAAAGAAGCAGGAAATAAAGAGGTGCTTCCATTTATACAGATTTTCTTTAGAGATAATAAAGATCTTGATGGTGTATTCAAAAAAAGCACAGAAGCCAGAAGACCTGAGTTTGAAAGCAGAATGTATCACTTTCCAGCCATGTGGCCTTGGGAAACTTTTCTTCACCTCTGAGCCTCAATCTCCTCACCTGTAAAAGGAGAATTAGTAATATCAGACTTCCTAAAGGCTGTTACAAGAGTAAGAGGTACAGGGTCGAAGGGAGGAGGGGTTTGAAGTGATCAATCAGTCAATCAATATCATTCCTCCCTCACAAGGTTAAGAAGTAAATCAAATAATATGCACTGTTTTGAAAAGGCCTTTATAAACTGCAGCATCATGCATGTGTTTATTTTTGCTATTCTTTTGGAAAATAGGTACTCTGAATAAAGTTCACAGTTGTTTCTTTTTCCCCATACACAGAATGGATGCCTTAGGAAGACACTAGTAACTACATAAGGACATAGACATTGTTTTGTGAATAAACCAGATCTGACCGATTAAGTACTTTATCAAATTACCTTTTTCAAATTTGAAAGTAACATATCAGGTTTGAAGCAACACAGGAAACTTCTCTTTTTAAACAGGTCTCTGCTCTGCAGCAGCCTTCAGCAATAACTGAGTTTATAATTAAATCCAGCCTGTGTATTCAGCCCTGCAGTGGGGAGCTGGGCAGACCACTTCACCTCACCGGCAGGAGTTAAATGTGATCCCATCTCCCAGGTCCAGTACTAACACACTGTCATTCTCATTAAGCATGTGTAGTAATTCTTTACCAATTCTAAAAAACTACTAATTAATTTACAGTACTTCTGGTCACACATAATTAAAAACCATTTTCATATCTTTGATTAAAAGAGACACAACCTTTTCTGCCTCAGTTCATTGTCTTACCCGTTCTTAGTAAATCATAATCACTTCCCTGGAATTTCTTTTTTTAGGAGTGTAATATCTGCTCATATCGCCTTGACTTCAGGCTCAAGCTCCCATTGCCTAGAAAATGATTCAGGAAATACAACCCTCAGAAGACAAATACTACCTCATCTTGAATAAGTGAGGCAGTCATCTTTTGGAACATGGGCACTTCCAATCTCAGAATAAATGCTCAGATATATTTTACAATATAATCAGAAAACCAAAGAAATTCAAAATTCACTTGAAGGATTATGTGGCCATTGTTCATATACAGTGCATATGTGAAATTCTCTCTCAGCGTGGTGAAATGTGGACTCAACACATGATCACTCTGTACTCATTTAAAGATGCACATGTCATAACAGATATTACTACATGTTAATACATATTAATACACTATTGAAAGAGCACTGGAATAGGAGTCACCATCTCTGGTTCTAAAACGGACTCATACTTTCCAATGATTGGACTTGCTATATCACTTAAGCCACCTCAACTTCAATATCTTCATCAGTGAAATGAGAACTTATTGGCTTATAGAGTTATTTTCTCTGAGGTTTCCAAAATAAGTCAGAAACTATAGCCAGAAGGTCATTCTGGCAGCTTGCCTGTTTTTACAAATAAAGCCCACTTGTTTACTTACTTTCTACGGCTGCTTTCACACTACAAAGGCAGAGTTGAGTAGTTGTGATGGACACCATATGGGCCACAAAGTCTAAAATATTGGCTATCTGACCCTTAACAAGAAAAGCTTGCTGACCTCTAGTCTAAAAGATGATAGTTATGAATTTATTTGAAATACCATGAAGTACTATTAACCTATATGATAGAAACTCTTGGTGGATTGAAATTAAGCAACTGCCATTTGGCTCAACTAGCTAGAAGAAATAGTTAAAAGTTCAATTTAAACAAAGGAAATAGCTCCTAATAGTTTCCCTTACACTATTTGATATTACTGAGGTATTAGATGCTATCAATAAATATTTGTTGCACTTAATGTTACCAACTGATCACTAAGAGATTTTGCTTAAGAAAAATAATCGATTGATGATTGATTCACAGGAAGTTGATAGAATTGATTTTTACAACTCTGATATGCAAATTGTAATATTAGATATGCCAATCAAAGTGCCACTATGCTTAATTGTTTAAATCTTAATCTTTGAGAAGTGCTTCTGCTTCGATGCAAGATTACCTACGTTTTCCAAAGCTAGGATGAAAAAATTGATGAATGAATGAAAAACCTATTGAGCTAAAGTTTTTTCTGAAAATCATCTGCATGCTATTATTAATACTTTCTCAGTAACCATGGAGAGGAAAATTTTGTGAAAACCCAGAAAATGAATTTAATAATGTGGATATTATGAGCCAAAATAGATTTATTCAGTGTGTGAAAAAAATAACTTTTTTTCAGAAATTTCAAAATTTCTTTCTCAGTGATAACTGACATTAAACAGTATTGAGTAATGGGACTCTCTCCTAAATATCTTTTTAATTTTGGTTACATAAAACTCATAAGTAGGTACTGATAAAATATTTTTGAAATATTAAAATGGTTATTTTATCCTCACGAATTTCTACCCCCAAATTGCCTCAATACTTCCAAATTGAAGAAGTACCAAAAGGTCTTGTATCATAGAGTTTCTGGCGTTACATAGCTATAATTATCTTTCACTATGACAGGACAAGAAGCTTGAAGACCTAGGGTGTAAGAAGGATATTCAGGAGAGGAAAGGAAGCCTTACTTCTTCTGACCAGAGGATTCTAACAGAGGTCAGGAGAAGAGAAAGGCAAGAAGACATTAGATAGATTGAAAGGCACAACAAGGGTAGAAGACCTAATGCTTCTCTTCCCTTTAGGGTCTCTGGGGGAGTTCCCAGGGCACACCAGGCTCTTTAACAACAGAGAAGACCTCAGATCATTAAGAATGCAGAGCAGCAGGGTCAGGAAAAAGCACAGGTTCAATAATCATTCCCAGGCCTCCCTTTCTTTCCTGTGCCTCGCATGCGGGGTTAGAGCATATGGACCTGCCTTGGGCCCCTCCACAGTGAATAACAAGGTGAGGTCATCATACCATCTGGAGGGCTACAGAATCATCAGGGGCTGGATAAAGAAAATGGCAGAGGCTCAGAAGGATGTAGAGCACCCCAACAAACCAAAGGAGGCTGAGTCAGCAGGGAGGAGCCCATAAGCCCTACATTAGCCAACTTTTAGCACCTATAGCCTTTGCAGACTTTAGCAGCAGTCACCTATTAATCTCTAAAACTGAACCCAAGCCCATCCCACCTCAAAGGAGAGCTGCCAAAGCGAATTCAAGGACCTGCAAGAGACCAGCCACCACCTTTCCCCTAAATCCCTAATTTCAGGGATATAATGCTGTCCTCCATAAATCCTGATACCATTTTGAAAAAGAGTAAGGGAAAAGAGAAGAAATGGGAAGAATTGAGTAATTCTCTCAAGTAGATTGAGCTAAAGCTAGAGACATGTTAAATTATTAGATGAGATTAAATTTTAAATCATATTGGGCTAAATTTAGTTTTTTCCCCACTGCTCAGTAGGCACAGTCCTCCTAAGATCAATTAAGTTATAGAGAAAAGCTACATTTTCTCTGCATACCCAAATTGTAGCATGAATACATTTGCTATCACACTATAATTATATTGTTTGGTTTAGAGGAAACATATTGATGAGACGTTTACTCAGGGTTTAAGAAATCTCTGAAACTAAAGAAGATAGCTTTTCTCTGCATACTTACATATTAGAAGCTGTGTGAGATAATGGAGAGAAATGTGCTGGAAGGCAGACCTGAGTTCTAAGCCCAATTCAACTATTTATTATCTGTGTGAGCAACTTAAAAAGTCATTTAAACTCTACAGCAGTGAGATTGTGTGTTCCATGTGAAAAATCTAGGGAATCATTATGCCGGATTACTTAGCGTCTTCATCCATAAAATGGGGGAGGAGAAACAGACGGGGAAGCAATAATGTCTGCAACCTTTCCCATTCTAATTTCCTAGTAGAAATGACTAAAAAGGCAGGTGTCATTTTTCTTAGGTAACCAGTAACCAGTAACTTTTTTAGTTTGGTTCAGTAGGAATTCACCTATGGGCCATGATTCCAGAAAAGTTTGAGAGGAACTTATTGACAGCGATGGTATTTAAGGACAAAATCAGAGTGACCTATGTGGGATTAGAAATTTGCGTCCAACTTTCAGCAACCTGTTTTGTAACAAATAAATTAATTTGAAAATCATTTCCTAGAGTAGTGACTAAAAATGGTAAGGGATCAAAAATTAGTGTGAGTCTCAAACACAAATGAGGCTAAAAAGGCTCTTCAAGATGAATGCCTAAACCTGTTGGATTTCTTTAATTTTAATATGAAAGAAGGATCTTTTGATTCCTCTACTCCCTTCCCCTGAAATTTCCTCATTTATACCAATAAAGAAATCAGTGCAATTTTCAAATTGCAATTAAGTTTTATGGACTTCTAAAATTTTTCTGTTCAATGGGATCACAAATGTTTTAATATTTTGGATGAAAAAAAGGAAATGAGATGTCCGTGTCAGTGAATCAATCATTCATTGATCATATGGGCATGTAATTCTCCATTAAGAAGTATGTACCGGAACAGGTCCAAAGAAAGAACAATAGTGATACATGTGACAATAATAAGTCTAGCTTTAGAGTTGCAATAGCCTTCCGCGTGCCAGGTAATGAGCTTTTCATGCATCTTGCTCACTGAGATCGTCACGTGTGGTCTTATTAATTCACACCACAATGACCCTCAAAAGTAAGTGTTGTTATGCATCACCATGGTGTAAAAATAGCAGGAATTTTTCTGACTATACTCCAAAAAGAGATTTTAGCCGTTAGTTCATCACAGTCTAATAGCTAAACTTATTTCTAATAGTTTAAGTATTTACAGCCCCACAAAGTCTATACTTCAGCACTTCAATCCCATAGATTAACAATAACCACAGTAACTCTTTGCTCTCTATGAGCAAATACTGCCATCTTGTGGAAATTGCACGCCAAACAGAACATTATTGTTCCATAAACTCAAAAGTTTTTCTTGTGTTTATTAAGAATTTTGCAACTCAATTTTTGCATTGTCATACATACGCGCACACACACACACTCGCACACATACATACACATTATTGTTGCTTATAATTACAAGGTACAATTCTTTAGATTTTCAAGTTCAATTTAAAAGGGCCAGTGCTTTGGGAAGATTGAAGGGAACATATCTCTTTGCTTATTATAAGAATTCATCCTATTCATCTTCCAGGCAGTGCATTATATTTTACCACACTTGCTTTACATAATCTTTAAATTGGGTTTTTGTTAAATCATAAAAAGGAGGCCATAGTGAGACCATTCTGATGGAATTTCCAGGAACACTAGATTTTGTAGCAAAATGTTATGACAGAACTCTGGACTTAGAGAACACTTTCATTCCCTTCCAACACTTGTAGCCCATGCCAGCCTGTATTCCTGGAATCTGTTGTCAGGGGTGACTGAGGGGTCAGATGGTCCAATTTCTCTGTACATCCCCAAAGATGAAATCTCCCTGCAATGCCCCAGCCACTTGTGCTGCCGTGAGCATAAAATAAACAATACAAAGAGATTTTTGTGGCATATTCGTACTTGAAGCACCTAGAGAGGGTGCTTCCTTCTTTCCCCTCGATGATCTCCTATCGCTCAGCTGGCTGAACCTAAAAATTCTGCAATTAAATGATTTTTTTTGGGTTTAAGGCTTTTAATTCCTATTAGAATTTAAATAGGTGAGGTATTATATATATATATATATATATATATGAGGCATATATATATATTTCAATAATGATTTCTAAAGTCAAAATATTTTCCAAGTTTAGAAAGAATAAGGAGACAAAATTAAATAAAATGAAATGCAAGGGCCCCAAATACCACTGAGAAGAAAGTGTAGGCAGTAATTAAGTTCCTGAATGAAGGAAGGAATAAATGAACATGAATTGAGGGCATTAAAAAAATGGCTTCACAGTGTCACTCAAGCCTCTCCGGTGGAATGTGCAGTCGTGGTTTAGAATAAATTTTGTACCCAAGGAAATGTCTGGAATGAAGTCATTCTTCAACTGTTTATTAAATGGATAGATGAATAAAACAGGAATGGAATAAATTAGAAAACAGCATCAATCGTAAGAAAAAAGAATAGGATCTGATATCAGAGTTTAGGATTCATTTACCAAAACTGTGTTGAGTATATTCCATCAATAAATATGCACCTGCTCTGTAGGAGGCAATATGGAGGATGAGTACACACTCTCGAAAATGGAACAGACTGATCAAGTAATTATAAATGATGATAAGTGCTATGAAGGAAAATTCTTACACTTTCACAGTGTATTAGTTCGTTCTCTCACTGCTATGAAGAAATACCCAAGACTGGGTAGTTTATAAAGAAAGAAGTTTAATTGACTCACAGTTCCCCATGGCTGGGGAGGCCTCAGGAAACTTACAATCATGGTGGAAGGCACCTCTTCACAAGGCAGCGGGAGAGAGAATGAGTGCTGAGCAAAGGGGAAGCCCCTTATAAAACCATCAGATCTCGTGAGACTCACTATCACAAGAACGGCATGAGGGAAACCACCCCCATGATTCAATTATCTCCACCTGTCCTGCACTTGACACGTGGAGATTATTACAAGGTGAGATTTGTGTGGGGACACGGAGCCAAACCGTATCACAAGGCTACTGACCAATATGGTGTGATGCAAATAGGAGAGCAGGATAACAGGATCTCATTTTGTGCCCAGATGTATTCTCATTAAGCAAATGTTGCTGTAGTTGCCTTTTATATCTACAAGTACTTATAAACTCAAATTTAAAAAGAATTATTTGTTCAAAGATGACTACATTTTTCCTCCAAGGTAATCAATGGTGCTCTGACTACCTAGAGCCTTTAGGTGGGCAAATACATAAGGGATGTGCCATTATTTTTTATTATTATGGTAAGAATTCTTAACATGGGTGCTATTCTATGAAAATTTTTAATGTACAATACAGTATTGCTAACTATAGTTACAATGTTGTACAGTAGTTTTCAAGAACTTTTCCCTCTTGCATAACTGAAGCTTTACACCTATCGACGAGCAATACCAACATCATTTAAATGATATTCATGAATAGGCCAGGAAAGTAATTTTGATACCATGATTACATCTTTGTGTGTTGCCTAACACAGTGCTGGAAATTTCTACAAGTAGTTGCTTCTTTGGATCAAGAGATTATTTCCCATGTGTATTTCTTAAACCTGTTACTTGGAAAGCAAAATGAGAGAAGGGGAATGAAGGTCATAAGTTTGGGAAATGCTGAGTTAAACAAAATCATGCCGTTTTCTTTTCTGCTGGTCTTCTGAGAGTCTTTAATAGGCTGACATCTTTGTAAATTCCCAAGAGTGTGTTTCTCAGAATTAATAACCACAAGGCCCTTTTCTTACAGAGGTCTTGTAGGTACTGGTTTGCTGTGAAATGCACTTTTGGAAATTCTGGAAATGCAAATGGCTTTTTCTGGAATGGAAGCTGGAATAAGGGTGACATATAACCCATTAATATTCATAATCATTTTAGTAAATTCAATTAATCAAATTAATTACTCTTCTAGAGCAACACTCTAGACAGATACATTTCACAGGAAGCAAGGAGAAAAGGTCCAGGTTGTGGGGGAGGTTTCAGAACAGTCTCAGTCCTGGACTGCCAGCACGGGGCACCAGAGCTGAGGCTGTGGGAACGTCTGGGAGAGATGACAGGGACCTGAGACCAACCCTCTACCAGAGCCTTAAGGGCTGGTCTCACTCTAGTTTAACTCAGATTAAACACTGACCCAACTTCCAATGCACAAAATCTTCTTCCCTTTATCATGTTGCTTGTTCTTCTAGCCATGTGGATGACATGAAACAGGTAAAAAGGTCACTACAACTCCATTCTCTGAACTCTTAAATTGTAAGCAGTCTCACCCCAAATAATCCAAGACCTTGGGCAAGAGTACAAATATAGGTTCACATACCCCAAGTCTAATTATGTAAAAATTATGCATTAAACTAAAACCTGTTTGATATAATATATTCTATGTTCTTATCTGGACAAATATACCTTCATGACCCCTGGGAGGCCAGGTTTAAGTTTCTATGTGACTAGCCAGGAGGTCTGAACTGACCCAGGAGCACAGGGCTCTGGGGCCCTTTCTTTCCACCTGCAGCTCCAACTTGCACGCTGAAGTGTCTCCTACGCAAGGCTGTATACACCCGAGCTCACTCATCTGAGCTCTGTCCACACTCTACAAACTCCACCCTATAGAGCTATGGTGCACCCGTGGCTGTAAGATCTTCTGCCAGGAGGACAACCCTGGGAATAGGCCTGGCAGGCCCTGGAAGAGCACTAAGCTGTTTGGCCAGGAAATTCCAGGGAACCCAGAGGACGATGCACACTCTGTACAGGCACACAGCCTTGGTCTGATCTTCCTTGCCCTGTGAAAAAGGGCATAGCTGGAGGAGGGCCACATCTAGGCTGGCCTCAGGTAGAGCCTAAGAAGCACTGGGAATTGAGAATAATTCCTCTATGAAAAACACACTTTAAAAAGCTGCAGTGTGCAGCTACCCTCAGACTCTGGGGAGGGGAAAAAGAAGCAGCAGAAGAAAAAGAAGAGGGTTTTTCCTATTTGAATTTAACTACTTCTGAAAGCCTCTGGTCAGGTTTTCTTCTTGTTTTCCAAGGTAAGATTACTTCCCCTTTGGCATTAAAAGGGAAACTAGATCAGTTGTGCGAAAAACCAAAAAAGATGTATTTTATCAACTTGAAACTTATCCCAAGGCTTCCTCTCACACTGTGTTAAATAATAGGTCTTCTTAATTGAATTTCTTTGTGTGTAGCATATGCTGGGTGACATTACGCCAGCATCTTGCTCTAAGCAGCAAAACGTTCTTCATAAAAGCATTAAGATCCTGAGTATCATTCTGGATGTAGGAAAGGGACACAGAACTACAACAACTTGAAAGCATATAAAAACAGTGCCTCTGAATTGTGATTGTAAAAACACACTGAAGCAAACCAGGAGGAAAATATTTAGAATTATAGAATGAAACCAGAAGAAGAAGAATAGGAAGAAAAGGAGAGAGGAAGATGGGAGGGTGGGATGGGTGAAGAGAGAGAGGAAAGCAGTGTGGTGCAATGCTGTCTGTAGAATCAAAGCAATGATGACTTTCTGTTTCCTAGCATTCCATCTAAAACAAGCAGATCTATATATTCATTTCCCTTTGACAGCCACCATCCTACAGAGGTGGGATTATAAATGGATGTGTTGTGAACCAGGGCGATAACTATGTCTGTAATAACACATGCTTATGTTCTTTATCCCAAGGATCCTGGAGCTTCAGCAGAATGGTGACATGGACATCCTGAAGCACAAATGGTGGCCTAAGAATGGCCAGTGTGACCTGTACTCGTCAGTGGACACAAAGCAGAAAGGAGGCGCCCTGGACATAAAGAGCTTTGCAGGGGTCTTTTGTATCCTGGCTGCTGGAATTGTCCTCTCCTGCTTCATAGCCATGCTGGAGACGTGGTGGAACAAGAGGAAAGGCTCCCGGGTTCCATCAAAAGAGGTACTTGATTGAGAGATTTGGCTCTAAATTGAATCAACAAGCAGGCTGTATTTCCAGGGAGGACCATCCCAGGGAGGATAATGGGTTGGGGGTGGTCCTTGTTTTTTCGTTTCTTGAAGATTAAAAATAAAGTTGTGAAATATAAAAATTGGTAAGATCAATATCAATTTCCATTTTAGGATATCCCCAGATCAGTGAAGAGGAGACTATAGTGTTTGAAAGACTTAGAAATTCATATACCATAATGGGCTTTGAAATTCTCTCAAATCTCAGAATAGATTTTAATTCAGTGATTTTTAAAGGCCATGATTCCTTTGACCAGTTCACAGAGATACTTACCATTTTGTTTCACTTAGTTGTTTAACTTGTAAGTAAATTCCTCGTATCTCTAAGACTAGCCCCCCAAAAATACAAT